>NC_000003.12:154917695-155220725 GCF_000001405.40 Homo sapiens | reverse complement strand
GAATCCTTTCCCCATTTGATATGGTTTGGCTGTGTCCCCCCCAGATCTCATCTTGAATTGTAGTTCCCACAGGCATGGGCAAAGATTTCATGATGAAAGTGTCAAAAGCAATTGCAACAAAAGCAAAAATTGACAAACAGGATCTAATTAAACTCGAGTTTCTGCAAGTAAAAGAAACTGTCATCGGAGTGAACAGACAACCTAGAGAATGGGAAAAAATTTTTGCAATCTATCCATCTGACAAAGGTCTAATATCCAGAATCTATAAGGAAGTTAAACAAATTTACAAGAAAAAAAAAACCAAACAACCCCATTAAAAACTAGGCAAAGGACATGAACAGACATGTCTCCAAAGAACACATTTATATGGTCAAAAAACGTATGATAAAAAGCTTAACATCATTGATTATTAGAGAAATGTAAATCAAAACCACAATGACATACCATCTCATGCCAGTCAGAAGGGTGATTATTAAAAAGTCAAGAAACAACAGATGCTGGTGAGGCTGTGAAGAAATAGGAATGCGTTTACACTGTTGGTGGGAATGTAAATTAGTTTAATCATTGTGGAAGACAGTGTGGTGATTCCTCAAAGACCTAGAACCAGAAATAGCATTTGGTCCACCAATCCCAATATGGGTATATACCCAGAGGAATATGAATAATTCTATATTATAAAGACACAAACACGTATATGCTTGTTGCAGCACTATTCACATAGCAGAGACATAGAATCAACCCAAATGCCCATTAATGATAGGCTGGATAAAGAAAATGTGGTACATAAACACCATGGAATACTATGCAGCCATAAAAAGGAATGGGATCATCTCCTCTGCAGGGACATGGATGGAGCAGAAAGCCATTATCCTCAGCAAACTAACACAGGAACAGAAAACCAAACACCACATGTTCTCACTAGTAAGTGGGAGCTGAACAATGGGAACACATGGACACAGGGAGAGGAAAAACACACACTGGGGCCTGTTGTGGGGGATGGGGGAGGGAGAGCATCAGGATAAATAGCTAATGAATGTGGGGCTTAACACCTAGGTGATGGATTGATAGGTGCAGCAAACCACCATTGCACACGTTTACCGATGTAACAAACCTGCATGTCCTGCAAATGTATCCCAGAATGTAAAATGAAATGAAATTACATTAAAAAAATGTTTATTCCTCATAATAAAATAAATCCAAATTAAAACTATATCAAGATACCGTCTCTCACATAGTGAATTGGTAAAATCTAAAAGTTTCCCTTCAGGTACATTCATATGTTGCTAGTGGGAATATAAATTGGTACAACTCCTTTAGAGAGCAATTTGACACCAATGATCAGAATTACAACTGTCAGAAGCATTTGCACCAGGGCAATGCCATCTTGAATAGGGGCTACATAAAATTAGGCTAAGACCTGCTGAGCTGCATTCCCAGATCATTAGGCATTCTAAGTCACAGGATGACATAGGAAGTCAATACAAGATACAGGTCATAAAGACCTTGCTGATAAAACAGATTGCAGTAAAGGAGCCAGCTAAAACCCACCAAAACCAAGATGGCAACCAAAGTGACCTCTGGTCATCCTCACTGCTACACTCCCACCAGTGACATGACAATTTACAAATGCCATGGCAATGAAAGGAAGTTGCCCTATATGGTCTAAAAGGGGGAGGCATGAATAACCCACCCCTTCTTTAGCATACAGTCAGGAAATAACCATAAAAATGGGCAATCAGCTGCCCTCGGGGCTGCTCTGCCTATGAAGTAGTCATTCTTTTATTCCTTTATTTTCTTAATAAACTTGCTTTCACTTTGCTCTGAATTTGCCTTGAATTCTTTCTTGTACAAGATCCAAGAACCCCTTGGGGTCTGGATCGGGACCCCTTTCTGCATTTACCCTTTGACTTAGCAAGGTCACTTCTGGGTATTTATCCTATGAATATTCCCTCCCTCGTGCAAGATGATGTATGTATGAGGTTGTTACAGCAGTGTTTGTTGGAAATGGTCCAAGTGTCCAGCAAAAGAAGACAGGTTAAGTAGCTCACGGACATTCAAGAACGGGAGTACTACTTTGTCACTAGAAACATGTGGACACCATGCACGGATATGGAATGGCTCCAAGATATATGGTTACACAAAGAAAGCAAGGTTCACAGCAACATGTGTAGGCTAACCTTTGTGTAGGAAAGAGAGAAGAGTGCACATTCGCATTATCTTGTATTTGAATTTAAAATCTCTGTGATACGTTTACCCATGTAACAAATCTGCACATCCTGCACATGTATCCCTGAACTTAAGATATAAGTTGGAAATAAAAAAAAAAGAAAAGAAGTGTTGGGCATGAGGTCTAAAAGAGAATTGGTATCAACTAAATACTGTCAACCTACAGGATATGACAAAGAATTAATACTGACTAGCTACTAGATATAAAGATGCATACATATAAACAAGTGTATTTTTCAAAATAAACATCTTGAAACTAAACAAAAATCTCTGTGATAAATAAGAAACTAATAAAATGGTTGAGGATAAGGGGAGCAAATTGGATTCAGGGATTGGTAGGCTTGAGACATCTTTTTCTTTGTTTTGCAATTACCATGTGGCTAATAGTTTTACTGAAAAGAGGAATATCTGACAATATTTTTTAACACTTGGACCTAACAATGAGAAGAAGACTTTTTACTGTATTAATTTCTATACTGTTTCATTATGAATCAGAGGACTATATTTCCTATCTAAGATATAAAAAAATATGATAAAGCCTCTGTGAAAAAGCAAGAATGGGCAGATCTCAGATGAATAATGTCATAAATCAAAATAACATTTTGTTCAGATGAAAGTGAAGGGAACTATAGAAAATCGCACACCAACCACAAGAGGAAAACTCCTGAAGAAGATTGTGTAATGAATGAACTGCAGGGACCTTCAGATGCATTTTTCCAGGGTGAGAGCGGGACCAGCCATGCTACCTCAAGCAGTATGTTGAAAGACTACTTTTTTCCCCCGAGACAGAGAAATCCATCTACTGAAATGTTATTTCAAATAGGCTAAAAACCGCAAAGAAAAGGTGTTACTATTCTTCAACCATGTATTTTAGCTGCAAATAAATATTTTCACAGTGCTGTAACCACGAGGAAGGAGCCTCTGGCATTGCTTAGGAGATTCAATGTCACAAAATTGCTTCCAAAGCCCCAGACAAGGGAAATGAAAAGGAGAAAATGGTTGCAACCATTGCTTTTATAAGAAAAAGATTTAAAAAAATAACTTTGCCCAAATCCTAGACAACACTTGCTGTTGCCTCATTGGTCTAAACTGTGTCACTTGGCTGTTCCTAAATGCAAGGTGGGGTGGGTCAAGAAAGTGAGTATTTAGCTTTGCCAGCCTTTGTAGTAGAAGCAGGAAGTGAGAAGAGTGTTGGAAAGGCTGGTTGGGTTAGCTAATGTCTGCCCTGACTGTAAGTAGGGGGCTACCTGGTGATGGGAACACTCTACCCATGCTCTCTTCAGTTGCCAGTGCTCAGTATAGTCCCAGGCGACTAATTAGATCCTTAGCTGAATGCTTATTTGAGGCTGATTTTCCCTCTATTAAAGGAAGATGGAATAACAAATTTCTTTAAATTTCCCGGGCCTTTAACCTTTAGGAACTGCCCAGCTGTTTTTCTTTAGCTGTCCAAGTCTAGTGCACTTTAAAATAATGCTATTCAAACCCCATGTTTGTGTTAATTACTATTATGATATTTTCAACTTTATTTAAGAATTTTTTTTAAAAAAAATTTAAAGATGGGGTTTCACTGTTGCCCAGGTGAGTGCAATCGCCCACTCATAGTTCACTGCAGCCTCAGTGTCCCAGGCTCAGGCAATCCTCCTGCCTCAACCTCCTGAATAGCTGGAACTACAGGTGCACACCACTATGCTTGCCTAATTTTTAAATTTCTTTTTGTGGAGAGGAGGTCTTAAACTCCTGGGCTCAAGCAATCCTCCCATCTCAGCCTCCTGAGCATCTGGGACTACAGGTGAGTGCCACCAAGCCTGGCTAAGTTTTACATTTTTTTTAGAGACTGGGTCTCACTGTATTTCTCAGGCTGGTCTTCAAATCCTGGGCTGAAGCTATTCTCCTGCCTCAGCCTCCCAAAGTGCTGGGATTACAGGTGTGAGCCACCACACCCAGCCTATTTCCAACTTTAAAATGGCTCTCAGTAAGTACTTCAGTAACATTTGAGAAAGTTATTCACTGAATATTTGAATGTCCTGAATGGCACATTCCTTAAGAAATCCCAAGATAAAAAATCTCTGGTTTGAGTTACTTAGATTATTTCAGCACCTTTGGCAGCTTGGGAGGCATTTCTAATCACATGACTGTTAAAGATTTGCATATAACCTTTCAGCCCAATCAAATAATTAATGTAAGCCAATTCTGGTAAAGTGGGAGTGAATATTCTTAATCAGAAAGTAAAAATTTAAAAAGGTGTTACTTTGCCGTCATGGAATACTATGCAGCCATAAAAAAGGATGAGTTCATGTCCTTTGCAGGGACATGGATGAAGCAGGAAACCGTCATTCTCAGCAAACTAACACAGGAAGAGAAAACCAAACACTGCATGTTCTCACTCATAAGTGGGAGTTGAACAATGAGAACACATTGACACAGGGAGGGGAACATCACACACCGGGACCTGTTGGGGGGTCAGTGGCATGGGGAGGGAGAGCATTAGGACAAAAACCTAATGCATGCGGGGCTTAAAACCTAGATGACGGGTTGATAGGTGCAGCAAACCACCATGGCACACGTATACCTATGTAACAAACCTGCACGTTCTGCACATGTATTCCAAAACTTAAATTAAAAAAAATGGTGTCACTTTGCCATTACTCCCAGAACATGCCTCTCCAACAGGTTTATGTTACACTAAAGAACAATTTAAGTATTTCTCTTATTAAAATTCAATGTTAACTTTTCAATGATCAGCTTTTTCAAGAACGCACTGTACTTAACATTGTACAGCCATTCCACAAATTGATATTTACAATATTCAGGCACAGGTGGCATTTCAATGCAATGATCTCCCTGACAGAAAATTGCATTGGTGATTTTATTCTAACGTTATTTTCAACTCCAGCTAATATACTGTGATTTTGTGATTGTGCATGTTTAAATATGTCATGTTTTTTTGAAAATCTGCACTTAAATTTTTTTTTTTTGCTTTTAAATTCAGGTTCATAAAACCTGATTTTAGAGTGAGAAAGGTATCCTGAAGGACTTCAGGCTGCCCCACAAATACAAATGTTGACTACCTGCTTTCTGATGCTTGATATCCCTACAAAAGGAGACAGATTTTTCATGTTACTATTATAGAATCCTTTGAATGTAAAATCCCCTGGAAGAGGTAATACCTAACCTTAATGGGAAAAGGCTTTGCTCATCCTGGTGATGAGATGATGATGAGAATGAGGAACAGATCCTAACAACTGGGCGGAAAGAGACCTCAGTGAGGTATTTATCACTTGTTCAAATAAACATTTCTTAAGGGAGGGACAATAATCCACCTCTAGAATTCACAATCTATCTATTCATTTGCTCATTCAACAAACCTTTACTAAGCAACTACTGCGTAAAAGACACTGATACAGAAAGAAAAGTCACTGTGGGAGGTGAAAATATAGAAGGCTCAAGGGCAATAGTTTCACAACATATTTAGTGCCCAAGAAGCTCATAATTTTTTTTTTTTTTTTTGAGATAGAGTCTCACTCTGTCACCCAGGCTGGAGTGCAGTGGCACGATCTTGGCTCACCACAACCTCCGCCTCCTGGGTTCAAGCAATTCTCCTACCTCAGCCTCCTGAGTAGCTGGGATTACAGGCATGCACCACCATGTCTGGCTAATTTTTGTATTTTTAGTAGAGACAGGGTCTTGCCATGTTGGCCAGGATGGTTTCGAACTTCTGATCTCAGGTGATCCACCTCAGCCTCTCAAAGTGCTGGGATTACAGGTGTGAGTCACCACGCCTGGCCAGGAGCTCATAATTTAAGAACATTTACACAGATATCCTATACCTAAAGCAGATCCAGACCAAGTGTGTAGTGGACACAGACCCCGGACAGTCCAACTGCTCTTCTCACTGCCTGAAGTCTCTACAGGGTGCAACTTGAACTTTTTTGCTTAAGGGATTGAAATGAGCACCCACATTGAATGGTGCACCATTCTGAAGAGCTGCCACTCATAGCTCAGCTGTTGCACATCAAGACACCTACTATTCAGTTAGTGGCCTGGTCACAGACATTGACATCCAGCCTCCAGAATTCTTGCAATGGCCCTGATATTCTACAGGAATGAATGGGTAGGAGTAGGAGGCCACCTAGCTGGCACCAGGGCTGCAAATTGAATGTTTACAAGAGCACATAGAGGCAAAGTAGTTAAGCCAAGTGACACAGTGGGGCCCAAGGTGACTGTGCTGCATATGCCCCATCCAAAGGGGACAACAGCTCTTCAGCTCCAGCTCATTGCTACCCAGATCTTTACATTTTTTGAGAAAAGCTCTAAATTTATATTTTATATTAATAACTAATACAAATCTTTAACAGTTTGGGAGCCAAATGAAACATATCTGTGGGCTGCTGTCCATTTGAAATTTCTGATTTAGACCTTACTAGAATATCTTACTCATTGACCAAGGTTACGTTTTCTGTCTTCATCATTCCATATAACTGAGATTGGCCTTATAGATCAATATATGCAAGAGAGGAGGAATTGAGAGGTAAAAAAAAAAAATCCTATAAGATGCACTAGTTATAGTACAATTAAATAATTTGCATGTTATATGAATGACAAAATCAGTCACCTCTGGTAAGTTACTTAACCTTTCTTTCAATTTTCTCATTTGTAAAATAAGGATATACTAGTGTCTACCTTTATAGGTTGTTGTGAGGATTAAATGAGATAATGCACTAAAAGGATCATGCAGAATTAATGATACATGCTATTGAGGTTTTGAAAGGAGGCCCAAAATAATACCTCATTTTGTTGCCCAATTTCTGAACCAGTTAAATTAGAATTATTCCAAGGAGAACTAAAATATCACCATTATCAATGATAAGGGCTAGGTTGCAAGACACAACTTAGTTTGACCAACAAAATGGGCTTGCTAAGTGCCTATCCCATTATCAGGCTTGGAACAGCTTACCTGAGGGAAATTTTGCTTTAGAGGCGCACTTAATCCAGGTTACTAATTACCCTTGGTCCAGATGCAGAGGAAAGAGAAGAGGCTTGATGTCTTTTATTGCTTCCACTTTTGATACATAACTTCTACTCTACTGAGAAACATTGGCCAACGGCTGTTCCCTAATAAAAGCTCTTCCCCAAGGGAAGGAGTCAAGGGTGGGACAAGAGGCCAGAGGTATTGAAGAGAAATCCTCCTCATGGGAAAAAAGGTAGGGGGTGAGGAAGAAGCATTTTCCCTAATTATTATTATCATTAATTATTATCATAATGATTATTATTATCTTAATATGTAGAACCCTGACAGTTTTCAGCCTGACAGCTTTTCAATGAATTGCAAGGTAGGCCCTGCCCAAATGTAAACAATGTATACCCAAATTGGAATTCTGCAAACTGTGTTTCCTAAAATGCTAAAAGGTGTGCTGGGAAAAATGGATTTCGGCCTCAAATAATTCCTGGATTAAGGAAACCAAAATAGACTTCTTCACTATAGAGTATACTATCTTTTTTTTTTTTTTTTTTGAGATGGAGTCTTGCTCTATCTGCCAGGCTGAAGTGCAATGGCGCGATCTCGGCTCACTGCAACCTCTGCCTCCTGGGTTCGAGCGATTCTCCTGCCTCAGCCTCCCGAGTACCTGGGATTACAGGCACCCGCCACCACACCCAGCTAATTTTTGTATTTTTAGTAAAGATGGGGTTTCACCATGTTGGTCAGGCTGGTCTCGAACTCCTGACCTCGTGATCTGCCCTCCTCGGCCTCCCAAAGTGCTGAGACTATAGGCGTGAGCCACTGTACCCAGCCGCACTACAGACTATGTTAGAGTTTTTTGTGTGCTAATGTAAAACACTGGATGTACTGATAAATACACATAGTAAACATCTCTATTTTAAATTTATTTCTGCTATTATACTTTCTTCTAGTATATTTATTAATAGTTGAGGAACAATATTCTGGGAATGACAGTTAAGGAAAAACTAATTCAGATTTAATTTAATAAAGTAGTTTATCCCAATACTTAGGAAAACCAACACAGGTTGTTGCATATGGTATATGTAAACTCACCACCAAATTTGACCAAACAAAATGAACACACAGAAAGCAAAGTACATTTTGTAAAGTACACCCACCTTCAAAATATTCCTTTTTTTTTTTAACCCTGACCCCCACTCACCCCTCCCAAAATAACAGCTGTTAAGCAAATTCTCTCTTAGGCAAAGTTTTATTGCTTTGTCCAGTTTGGGTTATCAGTGGCCTTTGTCATTTTCAGCTGGGCCCCTTACTCTGAGTGGGCTGACTCTGCACTGAGCCATGATATACACTGTTGGGAGGCAGGGGACATTTGAATTTTGGACCCATTAAATTTAAGTTTGTAATGAAAACAAAAGATTCTTGAAAAACTGGTTTTGACCTGGCAGTTTATTGCTTTACTTGTAAGGTTGTCATTATAAAAATAAAAGAATTAGAAGTCATCTGCTGCCAATTCCTTTATAACTCTTGTTCCCAGATGTTGTATTAAAAATTATTTGTTTAAACATAAAGTTCTGAATATTTTTATTTAATTCAACACATTTATTTTAGCTTTGTATTTGGCAGGTATAGAAGTCTAACACATTTCTACAACTATGTACAATTATTCTTTCAGTTAATTTGTATGATACCCTGTTTCAGCCTTGTTGCTCTCATTAATTAAAAAAAAGCAACTAATATTTGCAGAAGGTGTGCCAAGCATATTATTCTGTTTGATCTTCACAAAAATCTTCTGAAGTAGATGCAATTATTTTGTCCATTTCACTGATGGTGTCTGGGGCTTATAGAGAGGCTAAATAATTCCCAAGGCCACCCAGTTGTATGTAGCAGTAGCTAGATGGGAATCCAGGCCACCTGTACCACAGTCTGCCCTTAATCACCATATCCAGTTTAAGAGTAGTACTTGGAGATACAGTGCTTAAAATCCATCTGGTTCTTCATGGTCTTTCCAGAGTCATAAATTTGTGTGAATCCAAACATACTTTGTTTACTGTTCACATGAATGAGTCTATATTTGGTAACTCCCAGGGCTTTCTCAATAATTAAAAAACGACAATGTTCAAATCATCGTGGGAGGGAAAGATTAATAGGAACAAAGAGTTAGCTAATCTTGCTTAATTGGGCTAGCATGAGTAGCTGAATAAAAAAGAAAAAGCCTAGTTCAGTAATGGATGGGAGAATGTGGATTGTGTCCTGGAGCTTTAAATGGAAATGGATGCAATGCGTGGCAAAAATCCATGCTTCTTAGGAACATGAAAGATACTTTATAATTAAGGCCAGAGTGAAACAAAAGTAGCAGAAATGCTAAGGCCTCAGATACCTGAAAACTGCTTTCAAAACATTTACCACAAACTATGATTTCTTGACATAGACACCTTGGCAGATGTGCCAAGATTTATGCTTTAGCTGCTTTGAGTTCTGAAAGAGCAGATAATCACAAATGAGGAAAAACTGCCTTTTCAAATGCAGAAATATTTCTTCACTTAGATATGTTGTGGCTTTGTTTTTCCTTCTTTCTGTTGTTCCAGCATGAGAAATGTTCTATCATGTGAAACAGATTATAATCTGTGTGATCATCTGAAAGTATATTAAAGCCACATTGTCATTTGGCCGGCATGCTGCTTAATTAGGTGGAAAAACTGTAGTTCCTAATTTTAATAATCAAATACTCAAGCAGTTGCATTCTAGGAAGATAATCAAATTATGCTCCCTTGTCTTTTCCTTCCTTCAACCCCTGCCCGATTGAGCACGAAGGTTTTCAAGAAACCTTTTATTGAGCATTTACCAAAGCTACTGTATGAGATAATAATATGCCTAAAAGAGTCCTTTCTTCAAAGAAGACAATATGCGTAGTCTTATGGAGTGTCCCACATACACATCAAATATCTCGCACAATGAGGAAGACTGTGGTGAGGGCTCTAATGGGGATATGAAACTTGGTGGGGCCCAGAGTAGGCACAGTAAAAGAAACTACCATCAGAGTGAACAGGCAACCTACAAAATGGGAGAAAATTTTCGCAACCTACTCATCTGACAAAGGGCTAATATCCAGAATCTACAATGAACTCAAACAAATTTACAAGAAAAAAACAAACAACCCCATCAAAAAGTGGGCGAAGGACATGAACAGACACTTCTCAAAAGAAGACATTTATGCAGCCAAAAAACACATGAAAAAATGCTCATCATCACTGGCCATCAGAGAAATGCAAATCAAAACCACGATGAGATACCATCTCACACCAGTTAGAATGGCAATCATTAAAAAGTCAGGAAACAACAGGTGCTGGAGAGGATGTGGAGAAATAGGAACACTTTTACACTGTTGGTGGGACTGTAAACTAGTTCAACCATTGTGGAAGTCAGTGTGGCGATTCCTCAGGGATCTAGAACTAGAAATACCATTTGACCCAGCCATCCCATTACTGGGTATATCCCCAAAGGACTATAAATCATGCTGCTATAAAGACACATGCACATGTATGTTTATTGCGACATTATTCACAATAGCAAAGACTTGGAACCAACCCAAATGTCCAACAATGATAGACTGGATTAAGAAAATGTGGCACATAGACACCATGGAATACTATGCAGCCATAAAAATGATGAGTTCATGTCCTTTGTAGGGACATGGATGAAATTGGAAATCATCATTCTCAGTAAACTATCGCAAGAACAAAAAACCAAACACCGCATATTCTCACTCATAGGTGGGAATTGAACAATGAGATCACATGGACACAGGAAGGGGAATATCACACTCTGGGGACTGTTGTGGGGTGGGGGGAGAGGGGAGGGATAGCACTGGGAGATATACCTAATGCTAGATGACGAGTTAGTGAGTGCAGCGCACCAGCATGGCACATGTATACATATGTAACTAACCTGCACAATGTGCACATGTACCCTAAAACTTAAAGTATAAAAAAAAAAAAAAAAAAAAAGAATAAGGAAGATTTTGACTGGTAGAAAAAAATGTTAGGGGTTTGGTGTGGTGGCTCATGGCTGTAATCCCAGCACTCAGGGAGGCCAAGGTGGAAGGATCACTTGAAACCAGGAGTTTCAGACCAGCCTGGGCAACATAGTAAGGCCCTGTCTCTATAATAAAAGAAAAAAAAAGTTAGGTAAAAGTTTTAAACCTTAAATTAGTTGCAATCAAAAAGCATTTGTGGGGTTGATGGGTAGTTAAACGTAACATACTTACTTAAAGGAATCCAAATCTACTTGAAAAACAAAACACAAACACGTTTGTTTCAGACTCAGCCTGTGGGTTGTCAGTTTTCAACCCCTTGGGTTAAAGAACAAAGGGCATGAGACCATAGTCAATAACCCCCATCTACCAGGCAGACTGTCAAATCAGCTTTTTTTAAAAAAATAGCCTTACTCTTAAATATGAGCAGACAATCAGATACCTGAAGAAAACTGTTACCATGAAAGACAAAAACTAAAACAAACACATATACACAAAATAGATAACTTAGAGGAAACCAAAACTATGCAGAAACATGAAAAAATGAAGAGGAAAACTACCATAAACATCCTGGGTGAGACAGGAAAAGATATCGTATCCTTGAAACATGAGCAAGATGCTATTGCAAAAGGAACATTCAGAGAACAAAAAAGAACCTTAAACATAAAAAATGTGAAAGTGAATATAAGAAAAATTTAAGATTAATGTTGGGAAATCAAGTTGAGAAAAGTCCTGAAAAGCAAACTGTATTCGTTTGCTATGGCTGCAATAACAAAGTGCCACAGACTGGGTTGCTTAAGTAATAGAAATTTATTTTCTCACAGATCTGGCTCGAAGTCTGAGACCACGGTGTCAAGAAGCTTGGTTCCTTTGAAGGCTTCTCCCCTTGGCTTGTAGGTGGTTATCTTCATGTTCAGATGGCATCCCCACCCCCTCCACTGTGTGTGATTGTGTCCAAATTTCCCTTCTTATAAAGACACTAGTCATATCAGATTAAACCCACCCTAATGACCTCCTTTTAACTTTATTACCTCTTTAAAGACACTATCTTCAAATACCACCTTCTGAGGTACTTAGGGTTAGGACTTCAACATATGAATAGGGGTGGGAGGGGAGAGAGGACACAACACCCCATAATATAGACCAAAAAGACTTAGAAATGGAAACTGAGAGCCAGGCAGGTGGTGCACGTCTATCATCCAAGCTACCCAGGAGGCTGAGGTGTGTGAAAGGAAAATAAAATCTCAGGACCTCAATTCACTGTGCCAAGAGGTAAAAATTAAGCTGAAAGCTGAGTCATGCAAGAAACTGCCTTTCATTTTGTTCCTAAGCAGATAGTTACAGAAAAAAGGTTAGATATCTCCACAGGTAGCTACTCTATGTTCACCTTATGTAATGTAAACTGCCAATTTACTGAGTGCCAGATGAATACACAATTGACTTTTCCCCAACTGCACCTTTTCTCCTGCAACATGTGGATTCAGTAGTGTAACCATACCTCCCTCTTTCCCCTCAGCTCACTTTTCCCCTTTAAATACTGAAGTCCTCAATCATCTTTGGAGAAAGGCACAGACTACAAACTGTTTTTGTGATTCTGTGTTCCTTTCCTCCAGGCATGTCCTTAACATTGGGAAAATAAAGTAAATTGACTGAGACCTGTCTCAGATACTTTTTGGTTTACAGGTGGTAGGACTGCTTGAGCCCAGAAGGTCAAGGCTGCACTGACCCACGATCATACCACCGCATTCAAGCCTGGGTGACAGATCCAGATCTTGTCTCAAAGAAGAAAAAAAGAAAAGAAAGAAAAAGAAATGGAAACTAGGAGAGAAAATAACAGTATAGGAGTCAAGAAGAGTATTGATTAAGAAGATCCAGCGTCTAAAAAATGAGTTCCAGAATTAAAGAGAGAGAGAGAGAGAAAAGAAGAAGAAGAAGAAGAAGAAGAAGTCGTCATTAATGGAGAAATTTATGAAAATTTCCCTGAATTAAAAGACTCAAGTTACAAGATTAGAAGGGGCTATGAATATGCAAGAAAATTGGTAAAAATAGACCCATACTATGGCAATCATTAAAACATTTTTTAGAATACTGAGGCAAGAGAAAGATCCCATCAACATCGGGAGAGAAAAACACAGATTATATGCAAAAGATCAGGAATCAGAATGTCTTCCAATTTCTCAAAAGTATCGTTGAAAGCTAGAAGACAGTGGAGCAATGCCATCACAACTTTGGAGAAAAAAAAATATTTTTCAGTATGAATTCTACATTAGTTAAGTTATAAGTCAAGTGGAGAATAAAATAAAAGCATGTTCAGAAAAGCAAAGTATCTAAATTTGCTCTTATGTGTTCTTTCTCAGAGCTTCTGGAGGATGTGCTCCACCAAAATTAGAAAGTACCCAAAGAAAGATTTAGATGGACTAGTGGTTTTTATCGTTAGCTATTCATTGGAATTGACTGCAGTGCTATGATGCATTCTGTCTCAAAATGTTCTGAGTTAATCGGTCTGTGAGGAAACCTAGGCATCAGGGTTTTTTAGCTTCCCAGGTTATTTTTTTATTTCCCGGGTTAAGTGTATTCAAGGTAAACATGGAGAAACAAGAGCCAGGAAGAATCTCCATGATGATAGAAAAAAGGATTCTTGGGCAAATATTCTGCACTGAGAACAAGGTGCAATCCATCTAGAATAAACTAGGGAGGAAAACTCCATGAGAAATTTCTTCCAGTAGATGAAATTGGTATAATATCTACTGCAAAGTATAGAGAGGAGCTTTAGACAATTAGTGGAGAGTTTGGGGTTGAACTAATCAGGAGTATATAGGAAACCAAACAAATTTTAAAGCAAGAAAATTACTAACTCCATGGAAGCAAAACTATATGCAGGGAAGGAAAAGTTCTCTGAGCTGACTACATGACTCAATTGTGGAAAGAGTTTGACTATTGGAGAAGAGGGGGAAAGGAAGTGTACAGGTGTGTAATGGGGTGTGTGTGTGTGTTTAAGAGTTAATTCTCTTCTTCCATGGTGGGAAATCAATAGATAATGGTCAAAAATAAAATGTCAAAAAGTAGCAGTTCAAACATGCCATTTAGAAAGCTAAAAATTTTGTAAGTGGTTGCTCTGGAGTGTGGGAAATAGGCTAGAGGGCTGGAAATTGCTGTTTTTCTTAACAAGTTTTGTGAAGCTATTTGACTTTCTACGTGATGCACAGATTTAACTTCATAAAAGTAAAAATTAAAAAATACAAAATCCAGAAGCACTAGAAAAGAAAAAAAAGAGGGTGGGACAAACTGCTGAGGGATGACAGTGAGAAAAATGAAGACAGAGAGAAGCTAGACCTTGCCTTGATTTAAACATTGATATCTGGGAGATCAGCCAGATCCTTTTACAGAAAACGCTTTGAGTTGAGATACCAATATGGAAGACATGTTAGGATGAAAGAGCTGTAACTTCTTTGAGGGGTTAGACCTGTCCTAGATTACCTGTCCTAGATTTTCTTTAAGGTAAGAGAATATCAGAGAGTAGAGCCATCTAAAGAGATCAAAAAATATAGGATTTCATTATTCAACTATTTATTCAACAAATATTATTGACCATCTGCACTGCACTGGATGTTTGCTATAACATTGTCCTGGATGTCTATATATATATATATATATGTGATATTCTATATATATATATATATATGAACACCACAAAAGCTTGTGGCTAAAAAAGAAATTATTCAGAAAAGATCAAATAATGCCTAATAAACTCTGGTTAGAATTATGCAGCTTATCAAAGAGAAACAAAGAGACATTAAGAGTTATATGCAGGACTGCATTGTAGAATAGATTAGAAGGGATAAGAATGGATAATGAAAGGTGATTGCAGCAACCCATGTAATATTGGCTTAAACTAGGGAAGAGTCAGTGAAATGGTGACATGCAGACATGTAGGAGATATTAAATTCCATAGAATTCAGAATTTAGTGATTGACTGAATACGGGAATTGATGACAGAAAAGGAGTAAAAAAGACAGCCAGGTACTGGGTGTAATGGCATGAATGATAGCATCATTCTCAAAGATATGAAGAGAGGCAGATTCCAAGGGAAAAGTATCTGGTTCCATTTTAGACATATTGAGTTTCATATGAAAGGACAATAGCCAATTAAACATGTATGTTCAAATGTGTAGAGTAGAGCTCTAGAGAGACAACTATATAGATGACATAAAGTTGAGAGTTCCAGTTGACAGTTCAAGGCATACATAGAGAGAAGATTATGAAAGAAGAGCACAGAGAATAAGAAGAAAAGACACTTTTGGACAGAACTGTGAGGAGGACAAGTATTTACAAAATAGTCAAAGGATTAAGTAGCTGAAGAAGAAATTGAAAGAAGTGGCAAACTGGCAAAAAGATAACCAGAAGACAGAGATTCAATTAAGAAGAAAAGGAGTATACATGGAGGTGTGGAGATAATGAATAGAACAATGCACTTGAGGAGATAAGCAAGCTTCAGATAAAGAAGGAGGAATGCTATCTCCTCCAATTCAATAGGAGAGAAGTAGAAAAGGATAAATGCAGATACTTGTAAATTTTAACTGTTTATTTGTTTTTACTTTTTATACAGATGGGGTCTACTGAGTTACCCAGGCTGGTCTCAAACTCCTAGACTCAAGCAATCCTCCTGCCTTGGGCTCCCAAAGTGCTTGGATTACAGGTGTGGGTCACCACACCTGACAGTAAGTTTTAACTTAGATGGCAGTAACTCAACTTGAGTCTAAATCCACTTGATTCTCTTTTATCTTTGAAGTAGTAACCAAGGTCATATGCTGAGAGTAAAAGGGGATAGTCAATTTAGAGTTATGAGGAAACTGGAGAATGCATGAAATTCCTCTCATGGAAAATGAGAAATAAACCTATTAAGAAAATATAGAAAGATTCCAGATAGCTTTGAGAGCTCATGTGGTGTTGGGAACCATGCAGTCTATATTATATAATTTTCTCTAGCAGCCTTGCAACCTGTTAAAACGACAGCCCTTAAAACCTGCTGTCTTTGGCCGGGCACAGTGGCTTACGCCTGTAATCCCAGCACTTTGGGAGGCTGAGGCCAGTGGATCATCTGAGGTCAGGAGTTCAAGACCAGCCTGGCTAACATGGAAAAACCTTGTCTCTGTGAAAAATGAATCGCAAATTAGCTGGGTGTGGTGGCAGGCACCTGTAATCCCAGCTACTTGGGAGGCTGAGGCAGGAGAATGGCTTCAACCTGGGAGGCAGAAGTTGCAGTGAGCTGAGATCGTGCCATTGCACTCCAGCCTGGGCAGCAAGAGCAAAACTCCATCTCAAACAAAACAAAACAAAAAAACCTGCTGTCTTTAATTTCCTTTGTGTCTTCAGTCCACACCATCACTTACAAAGCACTTAGTCATTACCTTACTGCAAAAATTCATGTTCACAGCCAGGAGTGGAGTAGAGGTGGGTGTGTTTACTCAGGATTTACTTGAGGGATTTCTTGTCTTAGGTGGATGGGGAGGTTCTGGTAACTAGACATAGTAGCTAAGTTTCATCCTAGTTGGATGTAGACATAAAACAACATTTTTTAGAAAGTTGAGAGTGATAACTGAGACTGTCTATGACAACAAAACTATAGACAATCTAAGTCAACATGATTTTGTTGTTTGTTTCAGGAAAATTTTGTCTTGGGAAGAAATACTCTAACCAATAAATAACTTTTCTATTTGTTTCAGGGAATTCCTACATATCAACTAATTGGAGACAACAATCTGCTCATCTGGGCAAATTCTTGCTTATCACGGTTTACATATCAAGTTTGGTCTTAAGACCCTTGCCTTGCTGGACCCACCAATCTTAAACTATTATGTCACAGACTCTGCTGAATCCCAATCAGTTCCTCACTTTGAAAGCCCCACCCTCACCTTAAACAACTTGAGCTTCGACCTGAAAGTCCTATAAAAAACCCAATTCTGGCAGGGCACGGTGGCTCATGCCTGTAATGCCAGCACTTTGGCAGGACAAGGCGGGCGGATCACGAGGTCAGAAGATCGAGACCATCCTGGCTAACATGGTGAAACCCCGTCTCTACTAAAACTACAAAAATTTGGGCATGGTGGCGGGCGCCTGTAGTCCCAGCTACTCGGGAGGCTGAGGCAGGATAATAGTGTGAACCTAGGAGGTGGAGCTTACAGTGAGCCGAGATTGCGCCACTGCACTCCAGCCTGGGCAACAGAGCAAGTCTCTGTCTTAAAAAAAAAAAAAAAAAAAAAGAAACCCAAAAAACAAACAAACAAACAAAAACTTCCAATTCTGATGTCCCCTTCTGAGATATTGCTAAGACTATGTCAGTTCATATTTTAGGGAGGTTCAAGGGAAAAGTTTAAAGAAAACAAATGATTGCAATTCAGAACTTCTCACCAGTTCTGGGCTATAAAATCTCTCCCCCAGGAACCAGGTTCAACCATTTTAAATTCTCCAAACTTTTCTCTACTCCTCCCTGATGGATGGCATATTGTAGAAACCCCTCCTTCTAAATACCTCTCGTGCTGAATCCATTGTCCTCTCCTTCATCCTTACCTCCCACAAGAACTCAATTAGCAACATCTGTTGATTCTGCCTCATAAGTAGCTCCCAAGTCCATGTGTGCTTTGCCATCACCACAGCTGCAGCCTCATTCAGCTCATCTGGACTTGCGCAATGGCAACATAATTCTCTGCCAGTGCTTCTTAACCGCATCCACAGCATGAGATGTTTGCATTGCACATTGATGTCAACGAGAAGGTGTGCTTGTGGCTGGAAACAGATATAGATTCTGGCTACTCCAGTTTCCTCCTAGTTGTCCCAAAGACTGAAGAGATCAATATCTTGAAGCATTTACAGATACAGGTGTTATATCCTTCCTAGTACCCTGGGTAGGAAGTTTTGCACTAGATTCTTCCCAGTACATTAGCTTTCAGAGCATTTATTTATCTTGTATCACCAATTCTTAACAGTGTGCCTATCACATACTAAGTATCTAACGTGTGTCATTGAATCGATACAAAGTTCTAAAGCTGATATCTTGAAACAAAGATTCTTCATTTCATGATGAGCAAAAACTTTTGGGGATCCATAATAAAGCTGTACTTCTATGCATTCATCTATGTTTCTTTCAAGACCATTTTATAGAGCTCTCCCTCTCTCACTACAAAGCACCTTTTCAATTTGTCCTGGAGTTCTACTTGGGAGATGCCTGGACTATCACTTAAGGCTCCTGGCCCCTGCTCTGTATTCTTACATTGCTCTATGCTTTCTTATGTTATGTGTTCCACTCAGCACACCCCTGATCTCATTTTTGAATGAGCCTGAAGAAGCTTGTTAATCCTTGAAAACCCAATTAACTGTTGCTTCCTCACTTAAACCTTCTCAACATGACTGTTTCCTTTTCATATTTTCCTAAAGTACTTGATAAATAGTCTGTAGTGGAGTAAAAAAAAAAATCTCATTACCAGGTAACAGAATTATTCTTAGGAAAGAAATCACCTTTGTTTGGGAAAAGGTCTTCATAATCCCCAAAATAAGTAACATATTAGCAAAAGTTCCGGCAACAAAATAAATGGTCCAATGATTGTGAATGAGAAATGAATAGAAATTAGCGGGTAGAGGAGACTGGGCAAAAATAGTTGACTAACACGGCAGAGCAGCTTAAAGACTTACAACAGGGATGTCAATACTTAATTTCAGGGCATTTGTATCCTTATATTGTGCATCCCATCTGTATTTCTAAAGCTTTCAGTGAAGTATGCCGCACATTCAAAAGCCTCATGAAAATGTAGTTATTTTATTTATTTTGGAGAGGCATATTTGGTTTAAAAGTAGTGGAAATAAATATACACTAAAAAGGCATAGAGTTAAAAATAAGAAGTTGACAGAGCAGAAAGTCAAGGCTGCAGGTGCTCATTAGTCAAGGAAAAAAAAAGGGATTTATGTCAATCTTCTCTAGATTTCAAGGGACAGGAAAACTTTAGCTGCTTCTGAGTTTCACTTCAATCTTAGCAGTTATCACAATCCATGTTACATCAGCAATGATTGTAGGTGATGTGTATAGTCTTGGGGGCAGGGTCACATTGAAACATAGCTGCCTCTGCTTTAGTTATGGATGTCGAATGGGGAATGGGCCACTTCCTAGAAGAAGGGGGTTCCAGGCAGGAAAGCAACAGGAGTCTGTTTCAAACAATAATCTTCTTTACTTAACTAAGATATAATTATTAATGTCACTATTGGGTCATTAATCCTGTGTTGTATATTATACTGTCAATTGAGAGATCCATGTAGGGCTGGCTGTTACAATACACCATAAAGTTCTTGTTGGAATATTACATTTTATAAGCACTCCCTTTGTACCAAACACAAGAGCTCAAGGGTAGTTTTTATGAGGGCAGAAATTATATCAGTTCTGTTTACCATGGTGTCCTAGGACAGTGCCTGGCCCACACTAGAAGCAAAATAAGTATTTGTTGAACAAATAAAAATTTAATAGTTGCTCAGTTAATTTTTAAATAGTTTCTTGAATAATGTATTCCAATGAGCTGGGGCCAGAAAAAATATGGTGTTTGATGACTGATGAAAAATACCTACAGAATGTGCTGATCTATATAAGCTACGATCGTGTTCTCTTTTTCTTTTCTTGGTGCCAACTAACCTTATGTGATACACAGTGGAAACACAGTTATCTCAACTCTCTGGCAATTTTCTGTGTAACTCACAAATGAAGTTCAATATTTGCCAACGAATTGAATTGGGTTGAGTAAAACACAATCTTATTTTCCACACTGTTTGAATTCTATTCCCTTTGTGCTTTTTTAAAGCAAACTAGAAATGCATATGAAAGCATGACCAGGATTGGGCTGTTGGAGGCTAGTGCTGAAGGTTCTAAGAAAAGGTATCTAGGAAGCCTGTCACTGTTCACTCCTTGGATCACCAAAATCACGACCTGCCTGCACTGAGCTGAAATTTATGACTGAGTTGTATTAGTTAAACATCTTTCGGTTTCTGAGCAATATCAATTTCCTCTGTGAATTAAAAATACATTTGTCAATATCATATGCTTGAATCTTGGAAAATACAGTTCTAGGAAGCATTAAAATCACTTATCAGACTAAAAGCTTTTATATTGTAAGCAATTCATGTAATTAAAATACTTGCTTATGTCTGATGGCCTCATTTTCTAAATACAGTAGTGATCAGAGTAGAGTAAATATCGATCAAATATTGTATTACTTTTGCCTTCTGAATTTTTTATTTTTCTGAATAATTTTGTGTTATGTAATTTGCAGCTATTTGCTTTTGCCCCATGTCTTAGTGTTTACTAAATGATGGCTGTCTTAATTTCCTGGGGCTGCTGTACACCAAACATGGTGGCCTAAACAACAGAAAATTATCTCAGGTTCTGGAAGCTAGAAGTCCAAGTTCAAGGTGTCAGCAAGGCTGTGAGGAAGCATCTGTTCCATGCCTCTCGCCTAGCTTCTTCTGGTGGTTTGCTGACAGTCTTTGGTGTTTCCTGACTTGGTTTCCCAGTCTCTGCCTTCATCTTCACATGGGCATTCTCCCTGCATGTCTGTCTTGGTGTCCAAATTTCCCCTTCTATTTATTTTTTGAGATGGAGTCTCGTTCTGTCTCCTAGGCTGGAGTGCAATGGCATGATCTCAGCTCACTGCAAACTCCGTCTCCCGGGTTCAAGAGATTCTTCTGCCTCAGCCTCCCAAGTAGCTGGGATTACAGGTGCATGCCACCACGCTCAGCTAATTTTTGTATTTTTAGTAGAGATGGTGTTTCACCATGTTGGTCAGGCTGGTCTCGAACTCCTGACCTTGTGGTCCGCCCCCTCTCGGCCTCCCAAAGTGCTGGGATTACAGGCGTGAGCCACTGCACCCGGCCTCAAATTTCCCCTTCTTATAATGACACAAGTTATACTGGATTAGGGGCTACCTAATGACCTCGCCTTATCTGCAAAGATTCTATTTCCAAACATGGTCACATTCACAAGTACTGTGGGTTAGGACTTCAACATCTTTTGGAGGGACACAATTTAAATCATAACAGTTGCATATTATTGTCAAACAATAGTGTAAAGTAAGGTGAATAAGAAGTAGAAATTTCTTGGGAATGTTGAGTTAGGCCCTGAAGGGACAGGGTAGTACAAGGTCTAGTGGAGAGAAACTGAATGCTTCATGAGCTGTGGGAATACAGATTTACTGTGATTCCTTTGATTGCTATGTTATACCTGAGTCAAGCACAAATGGAAAAGCTTTTTTGAAAGAGATAAATAGCAACAACAACAAAAGAGCTAGATTTCAGTCCTCGCTCTGCTATTTTTCCAGCTAAGTAATCGTGTTTGAGCAAACCAACTTCAGCAAACCTCGTTTTCTTTGTAAAGGGAAGATCTAATAGCTCGAGGCTTAAATGAGACACCCTAGGTAAGTACCCAGAAGTGTATCTGTAATTTAGCAGAGCTCAAAACAAGGACTTCCCTTTTCTTCTGCTCCTTTTTCCATTCTTCTTCATTCTGTCCATTAAGTCTTAAAATTGCCCATACTAGTGACTTTAAATAAGTGAAAATTTTATATCTTCATACTGTAATTTTTAAAGATAAGTCACTGAAGGATGAGGTTGCAGTATGGACAATATATATTATAAAACCTGAAGAATTCTGAATTGCTCTTCCACTTCCTATTCTGAGTCCTGGAATTTAGAGTAAAAGCATTTGGTCTCAGCAGTTCCTTTTCAAATGCTTTCCTCTGACCTAGGAGACTGTGACATGAACATATGAGCATCCAATGGCTCTCGAGGGGTGGGGCTGTTTATTAGATAAGTGAATAGTCTTGAGAAAATATGAGATCAGAGTTGTTAGGTCCAAAATGCTTTGAATCGTTTACTTAGTATTTATTAAGCTCCTATCCTGTGCCAGGCATTGCGATCAGTGTGGGTGTCTGCCCTTGAAAAGCTTGTCTTTTCCTCCCTTGGGAAGCCTGTGCTTCTGTATGTGGAGAACTGCCCCCACAGGTAGGTTCCTGGATGTGAGGGCTGGGGAAGCCAAAGGTAGGGAACTTGAGGAAAGGATGCTATCAAAGCTATGGGCAAAGAGGGAAGGCTCCAAGGACCCACTTCATTAAATGCCTTAGAACTGGTCCCGATGGAGAAAAAAAATAAACCATGATTATTGTGATAAGGCAAAGGTAAATATTTTTGTTGTGGGTATCCCATGAAAAATACACCTCAAAGCAGAGCACATTGAAAAATGAGTAGGGGAGTTTGTACAATATCCTGAAGGCAGCCATGTTGTTTAGCAGGCACAAGTAACAATGCCCTGTTACGGAAATTAGGAGAGAGCATTGAATTTAGGCATGATGGACCTAATTCAATGGTAAGAAATAAGGCAAGCATGTGCTCCCCTCAGGCTCTTGTTCTTATTCTTCACAGTAACGTATCACTCCCTTTATTTAGTCATGCTGAGACTTCAAAAGTGTTTTCATGAAAAACAATGTTGGAGCTGGAACAGATTATAAACATCATCTAGTCCAAGTCCCTCAACTTAGATGAGAAATGGAAGCATGTGAAGATGAATAACTTGCTCAAGGTCATGGTTTTTTTCAGGACTGATCTCCTTACTTCCAATTCTCTTTTCTTTCCTTTTGAAGTTGTTAGTAAAAAAAAAATAATAAATGATTATTTACATTCTTAATTGTCAATTTTTCCATGTATGCTTACAAATGGGGCATAGATTTTCTACTTTTACCTACCTCCATCAAATTAAAGTTAAATGTTGGTTTTAAATGAGATTTTCTATGATTTATACTTGAATTGTTTGAAATAGACTTCATTAGCTCAGGAAACTTGAATTCTTTCCCTTTTTTGCAGGGTTCCTTCTTTGTCTGTAAATAGTCATCTTGACGTGCTTCGACCATTCCACTGGCTATTCTTACCATTTGATTTCAGTTTTTATTAACTTCCGGGTTAGGCAGCTGGTCTCCTCTTTTTGGGTTCATCTTAATTTTTGGGTTACTCCATTATTAGCCTGGACTGTTTTGTATAGACTATCTTAATGGCTTGGCCTAACTCCAAATTACAAAAGGTTTGTAATTAGTGAGATACTTGCCAAATTCAGTTGATTTCAGAATAAGCCATGGTTTTTAAATATTTTTCACTAAATTTTAATACTGGCCTTATATGACAAGTTTATTTATGATCTTAGAATTAAAAAAAAAAAGTCATCTCAATGTTCAAAGCTGGGAATGTCAAGTAATTCTAAGTTTGTTCTTCAAGGTTCATAAGTCACAGGCATTCAAACAAACAAAGGGATTATTATGTCTGTTTTATATTTCTTAATAAAGCTGGTATCTTGCAGGCACTTATTGCACAAATACCCAGTTTTATTAGTGTCAAGAAAGAAGCAGTCTCTATCTTCCTTTTGAAGACCTAAGTGATACATAAGCCTATTAGCCACCAGATTAACCAGTGTTGATAGACATTTTGGAAGACTGCATGGCCACAAATGTGATCTTATTTTGACATTGCATGTCACTAAGCCTATTAACAAGAATTTCTTGGATTGTCAAAGTCTTCATCAGTTCAGATTATCTGCACTGACCCCCAAGATGACTCATCAGGGAAGAGATAGAATCCTAGGAAGGGAAGAGTGTAAGCGGGTACTTGCATGGCTAGGCTGAGGCAGCTTTACAGGCCATGATTTTCCTGCTCTCAGCTCAGAGGCAGAAGGTCCCTGGAGAGAAAGTCCTTTTGAAGAAGTGTTGCTCTTTTCACAGGTCCCTCAGCAATGTCTCCAGCTGGATTGCCCTTCTGGGTAATACAGCCAATCTACACATTAGCAACAATTCTCTCCGGGAAGGGTAGCGTGGCATATTGATTGAGCAAGCTGCCTAATCTTTGGTAGAAAGCATTCAGCCTGCTGAATTTGTTCAGGTCAGAGACCATTTAGGCTAATAACCCGTGTAATTTTTAATTTTTACGGTATCTGTTCCCCATTTTCTTGCAGCTCAACTACTGTAAATAATGTTCCCACACAATATAAAATTTCCTTGCAAATCTTTAAACTGTTTTAAATACACCCAGTTTCTCCACAGTCATGTTCTGAGAGTGTGTACAAGCCATCAGGCTGTGGGCCCACATTGCTCAAATAGCTTTGGGTCTATTTGTCACATTAGGTTGGCCTTTCTGCCAATACTTGTTCTAGCCTCTCTTGTTTTCCCAAGTGAGGGTAGTGACTTGTGTGGTCACTGTTTCTTAGGGATAAAGTGTTTTAACATCTGTTCCATTTTGTAGGAGTTCTGCACTGTGGAACACACTGAGCTGTACTGAAACCCATTTTGTGAGAATCTGGAGAATGGTTCTTTGGAGGATCAATGTATCATTAAGCCCTCTAGGCACAGTGTTAACATCAGTAAAAAAGTTTAGACTTGAAAAGGTTATTGCCTCCAACATATGAAAACTTTTGTATAGTTATACATAAACCATATTTCATGTGGGATCTGTGTACATTTCAATGTTTAGTATGAAATAGGAATAGAGCATCTAAAAGTGAAAATGCACAAGGTCTAGGAAGCTCTTCAAAAGCCCTGGTTTCTAAGACATAAAATTTTAAATTAGAGATCCACTGAATATTAAGTGGAACAGACACCTCAGTAATCACCTAGTTCCACACCATCCTCTCCAGTTTCAGTGTTTTGCTTGCTTATTGGCTCCCAGATGAGGACATGGAGTCCAGAGAGGGTGACTCTCCCAAATCTGCTCAGCCAGTTAAGGACACAGCCTGAGTGAGTGCACACATCCATCTCCTGGCCCATCACACAACAGTTTATAGCTATATCTTGATAAGGCCAACTAAACTCTGCGTTGGAACTAAGAATGCAATTTCAGCATTTCACCAAGGATCTCAAATGAAATGAGAAAATAAATTTTAATCTCTTAATTCCCATAAAATTAGGACTAACATTGCAGAATGAGGACTGTTCTGGATCCTTCCTAACTCTGGCATATGTTAGACACTACACTTAAGGGCGTACTTAACCGCAGAGAGCAGCAGTTACAGAACTGCAGTGCAGAAGTGCAGAGAGCAGCAGTTAGAAGGACAATAAATTACAACCAATGTTTAAGGATGTTGCTTTTTAGAGCAGTCAAAATAACTGCTGTGGAAGAGACAGAACATATATGAATATTTATGAACTCCCTACCTTTCCCAGTCTTGAATGTGACTAATTCTGATCAATGAAGTGCATGTGAAAATTTGGGCCCTCGCTTCTAGGTCCAGGCTCAATGTGCTCCGTGTCTTCCCCAGGCTCCCTCTCTACCGCCCCCCTCCAGTGACGTGTTGGGAAGAAAATAATTTCAAGTTGGTAAGTAAAAATACTAGAAGGTGGGCACAGTGGCTCACACCTGTAATCCCAGCATTCTGGGAGGCCAACGCAGGAGGATTGTTTGAGCTCAGGAGTTCCAGACCAGCCTAGGTAACATAGGGAAAACTGTCTCTACAAAAAATTAAAAATTACCCAGGTGTGGTGGCACATGCCTGGGTCCCAGCTACTTGGGGGTTAGGTAGGAGGATTGCTTGAGCCCTGGATGTCGAGGCTGCAGTGAGCCGTGATCATGCCACTGCACTCCAGCTTGGGTAACAGAGCAAGATCCTGTTTTAAAAACAAAAAAACTAGAAGGAGCCCAGAAAGTGGAGTCACAGGTTAGAGAAGAACCTTCCAGGAAACCTGCCTAGTTACATAGGACTTTGTGTGAGGGAGAACAAAACTTTTATTTTGTTTTTAAATTTTGGGAGTGTGTGTTTTAGTAGCCAGTATTAATTGCCCCCAACAAATCCAACAACTTTAAACATTTAACTCATTCATTCATTTTCCTATGATTGGCTGGAAGGTCATATGAGAGAAGTGGCTATAGAGGACATCATTAAGAAATGACTTTAACATAATTCTATTTTGTCTTTAAACCCCGAATGGGGTAGATTTCCAGACTGTCATGTAGCTTTTAGCATCTAAATCTAAAGTTTAGGCCTACAGTTTTTCTTCCCAATAGATATTATTTCCATGTTGACTACACAGTCCCTGGTGTTCTATCATGCATTTCTCTGGTCACTCCTATACACATATTCAAACATTTGTTTATTTCTTCCAGAGACTGATAGTTGTTTGCATTTGTCAGCACACAGACTAAGTTGCTGTAACAAAGAGACATTCCTTCTCCATCAAAAAAACAAAAACAAAAAAACTCAAAGTTAACAAGTCAAACTCATACAAGATAGGAGTTTGTTTCTCTCTCAACAGTCCAGAATACGTCAACAGTGAGAGTGACCAGTGACCCAGGTTTTTTCTATCCTGTTACTTTACCATCCCAGCTTGAGGCTGCCTCATCAGCCCCACATTTGTCAAGTCCAGACTGCACCTTGCAGTTCCGGCAACTTCATTTCTAAATGATGTGACCCAGGTAGTATATATAGCTTCATCTCATATTCTAATCACATGTCCACTCCTGGCTGGAAAATGTAGTCTCTAGCCAGGTTGGCTATGTGCTCAGATAAAACTGGGGAATTCTGTGATGAAGAAAAAAAGAAGAGAATGGATGCTGAGACACAATTAGTAGTTTTTTACCTGACAAACCACTTTGGGACCTTTAGGTTATGCTTCAGTATCAGAAGGAATCTGTTTTGTCATATTCTGTACTACGCTGCAGTGTATTCATCTGTAAGTGAGAAGCACTGACATCTCCTCAAATAACAGTCAATACCTTTAATATGATGTAGCAATCTTATATTTTTCCCACTATTAAGAAACTAAGGCATGGAAAACATTTTCCTTTGATATTTTTAAAAGTACCGTTCTGTGAGCCTCCACTGTGTTTACCCTAGGGCTGAGGTAGGCCTGGAGATAAGGGACTAGCCAGAATATTTAACACCAGTCAATCAGAATGGGTGCCAGCTGTGGATGGATGGCACACTTACCTAGGCACATACCAGCTGAGTATCAGCCCTGTCTAGGGGCTGAGGCATCTCAATAGGAATTTTAGAATGAAGTGAGGAGCCTCATAGGAGATAATTTAACCTAAGGGAAGTGAGTTGAAATTCAAAAGTTTGGTTTGGGAAGGAAAAGATTCTAAGCTCACTGCATTATCTGTCACTTGGAATGCCACCATAAGTTCAAATTTGAGTCCCACGTGAAGAAGTCAGCAAACAGGCAAATAAACATGATAGACAGAGATATGTTCCCCTCCCCCCATAAAAATCTGTCAGATGTGGGAACATGAGCTTTCAATCATCTAGTAGTTGATGCAATGGAAAGATTCTATGCTGCAATCTTTGGCAGTAACAAGAGATAGTGCCCTTGGGTCAGATGACAATGCCATCAATGTCTGGCATCAGCATGCTCAGAGATATGTTACTAGGGGTAGGTAGCTGTGGCTGTCCCTTTGGTGTGGATTGGCAGCAGTAGCCCCCTTTGTGGACACTGGAGCATAGCTGCTGCATTAGGAATTGGCATTAACAGAGGAAATCTTTGTAGAAGACTGGAGCTGGGGAGCAGGGAATTCTTTAGCAGTCAAGGGTCCTAAACCTGGTTGTATATGGGACTTACGTGTGGGCCATGTAGGACTCTCAGAAATATTTGAGAGAAGCTTAAGAGGGCCTGGAATTTGTCTCTACATGATGATGCGAGTTAAGACAGACTGTTTGACATTTACTGTGACACTTTCTCTACCATCTCTGTTTATTGTTTTATATATACGGACCTCACAGTTAGTGCTCTTGATCTGTTCCCTCTAGTGCTTGAGCCCTCATCAGGTAGAGATTCAAGCCAGTTACCTTACTGCCCCACCATACTTGTCCTGTCATTGATTTGCCAGGATTCCCAGAAGAGGGAAGGGTGCCAGTGTAGCACCCTTTCTATTCAGGAACAGGCAATCTTGAGGCTGAAATAAAATGGGCCTCTTCACTAAAGTATCTCATTTCATTCAACTACAGTTTCTTTTCTGCCTTGATCTCACTTTGAGTACCATTTGCTGCTGCTGATTCACAGCTCCGTGACAGAATGAGAATCATACAATTAAGCAAGTTTCTCGTGTTCTAGCCTTTTGTCAACAATTTTTCTAATTATGTTCTTCTTATCATTAATTTTGTTTCTTAGCATTTTAATCTGGCAAGATGTTTTACCAGAGGAAAGGATACAAACATCGTTTTATAAAATGACTCAAGAGATGGTTCGGGGGTTGGCTTAGTTGGATATGCTGAAGATATTTCAACAGGTGTGTTTTGTGGTAGAATAATTAAGGACAATAGCATAAACTCACCTTTTAGTTCCCAAACAGAAAAAAAGAAAGAGTGCTAAAATATGCCTGGTGCTGTAACAAGCCCTGAAGTTTCAATGGTAAAAAACAGACATGAAGTCTGCTTTTGTGTTGTCTACCAGGTCTCTATTTTCATGTTAGCACAATCCTCTTTTTGGCAGAAAATATGGCTTTAAAATTTCAAATGCACTTCCAAAATTAAAACTTCTTAGTTTGAATTCTAGATGCCCCCAGTTTGGCTCTGAACTACCTTGAAAAATAACTCTTTTGTCTGGTTAGTTTGAGATAACCCAACTGACTCGAAGAACTGTCCCAATTACGAATGTTGATTCAGGTTGTATTCTTCTCTTGGAATTCCCATCCTACCATTCACTCTTGGGGAAAAAAAAAATCTCTCCATCTTTAAAACCTACCTCAATGACACATTTTACTAAAGACTTTGCAAATATTCATAGGTAAATGTAATTTCTTCATTTGATTCCTCCATCACTTTGATCATTATTGAATCCTATATCATATTCTATTTATTCTGATAATCTTAAGTCAGTTCAGGCTACTACTATAGAAAATTGTAGATTAAGTAGCTTAGAAACAACAGAAATTTCTCACAGTTCTGGAGGCTGGAAAGTCCAAGATCACAGCACCAGTAGATTCAGTGTCTGGTGAGGGCCTTCATCCTGATTCATGGATGGCTGTCTTTTCACTGTTTCCCCATATGGCAGAAAGGGCCAGGGATCTCTCTGGGGTCTCTTTTACTAGGACACTAATCTCAAACATGGAGGTTCCACTCTCTTGATGTAATCACCTCCCAAAGGTGCCACCTTATAATATTGCCTCTTTAGGAATTAGGTTTCACATGAATTTAGGGGACATAAACATTCAGTCTCTAGCACTGACTTAGGTTAACCCCTCAGGTTAGCATTAGCACACATATTGCCATTGTGTGAAGTAGAAAAAGGCACTTCTTCCTCAAGATACTTGACTTTCATCTGTTGGAAGGTTCCTTTAGCATACCAATTCTATAAGAATAAGAAAATTATAGCCATCTGTCTGAAAAGCTACAAATATGCAAGTCTACTTTAACTAAGGTAAGAAGTCCCATAGATTGTATATGCTTTAGATGATGGCCCTGGTTTCACTTCCTGGACTGTAAATTGCCTTTGTAAAGTGCAAATGCTGAACAGTTGATTCTCCAGGAAAAATAAGCCAACCTAACCTGACTTCTAGTGTTGGCTGATTTCAAGCTACCAGTATGACATCAGCTAGCTCATGGGATTTCTGAAAATTTAACAATCAGCTCTCATGAACTGTTGAGGCTGGCTCCAGCACATTGTGGGCTGGGCTTTTTTCATGTACTTTGCTATCTATAGAACTCAAAGGTTGAGGAAGCCCTGAGCAATGTAAATATAGAACTTATAGATGCTGTACACTTAAAAACCAGCAATATTCTTTATGTTGTTACCAAGGACAGCACACACTTGCCAGTGTGACCATCCTTCTTTATTCATAATGCTTAAGCATTTGGAATATATATTTTTAATGACATGCTCTTTAAAGCTGAAGTGCAGAAGTTCCTTAGAACAGAGCAATTCATTATTAGCTTGCCTAAGGTAAAAATAATACATAACTTTCAGGAAAATGCAGTGTGCCAAGTGCAGTAAAATCTGAAGGCTGCCTTATGATTTGTATTTCTACGGTCCCGAGTTTCTATTTTCTCAAAGCGTTGCCTAAACAATTTATATTTTAGCTACTTTAGTGGATAAAGCCATAAATGTTTTCCTGACATATTAGTGCTTATACAGGGAAGGTCCTCTCAGTGGTTAGTTAGTTTGCATGCTGTGATGAAAGGCGGGTGAGAGGCAAGGCTTGTTAATTGCCAAATACCTAACCTCTGTATGATGAATTATGTTTATTTTATAAAGGCCAATGTTTTAGTCTTTGCATGAGTGAATCAATTATGATCACTAATTTTAGTTTAAAATAATACCAACTCATCTCTAGTTATCTCAAATTGATGTTGTATCCCTAAAGTCACCATTTAAAAACAGGTAAGTGAAGAATAGTAAGTAGTTTGAGATGAAATTTTTATAGTTGCACATACTTTACCACTGGAATATCTGAGATTAGAATTCTTTTCAAAAGGTTTAAATAATTCCGAAGTATTATTTGCTAAATAATTACTTATTCTATGTGTTTTCTATAGCTGCTATAACAAATTACCATAAACTTAGTGGTCCCCAAACAACACAAACTTATCTTACAGTTCCGTAGGTCAGAAATCTGACATGGTCTCACTCAGCCAAACAATGGTGTCAGAAGGACTGTGGTCCTTTCTGTGGGCTCCAGAAGAGAATCAATTTCCTTGCCTTTTTCAGCCTCTAGAAGCTGCCTTTATTCCTTGGCCTGTGACCCTTCTTTTCCATCCTCAAAATCAGCAAGAGCAGGTCAAGCCCTCCTCACATCACGTCACTCTGACTTTCTCTTTCGCTTACCTCTTCCGCTTTGAAGAACCCTTATTACATTGGGTTATTATCCACCTGCGTAATCCAGCCTACTCTCATCTTCTTAATGCCAGCTGATTAGCAACCTTTATTCCATCTGCAACCTTTAGTTCCCCTTTGCAATATACTCTGACATATTCATAACTTTTGGGAATTAGCATATGAACATCCTTGGGGGACCATTATTCTGCCTACAACACACCTAAATGGCAAAAATGTGTTTACGTTTTAATAGTTCCTTTCTGAGCAAACTAAGTTTCAGAGGCGTTAAATAGCTTTCCTGAGGTCTCCGGGCCAATGACATTTTCTGAGCAAAGTGAAGATATCTGCATAATGCTATAAACTGTTTTCCCCAAAATTATCATCTTGCACAAAACTTCAATTTTGGACCGGGCGCTTGGCTTACACCTGTAATCCCAGCACTTTGGGAGGCCGAGGTGGGCAGATCACTTGAGGTCAGGAGTTTGAGAACCAGCTTGGCCAACATAGTGAAAACCTGTCTCTACTAAAAATACAGAAATTACCGGGCGTGATGGTGCACACCTGTAATCCCAGCTGAGGGTGAGGCAGAAGAATTGCTTGAACCTGGGAGGCAGAGGTTGCTGTGAGCCAAGATCGCAACACTGCACTCCAGCCTGGGTGAAAGAGCAAGACTCTGTCTCAAAAACAAAAACAAACAACAATAACAAAAACAACAAAAGAAAACAAAAACCACTTCAATTTTGTTTTGAGTATGTTCCTGCTTTTGCTCTTTCAACTTTTGAAGAAATCTCTTACTATTTAAAGGATTGCACTTTTTGTGCCTTTTCTGTTTCAAGAGTGTCTAGTGAGAAAAATGATTCAAAAGGGATCAAGCAAGTGATTCACTGAAAGCAACATGAAAGGTAATATGGTAAAAAAACAAAAAATAAAATCCTGGTCTTTTAGCCCAAAGCCCTGATTTTTAAAGATCCATAGAGCTTAATTAATGCTGGGGAAAAGTCAGAGGTAAGAATAAAAGTCTTAAATTTTAATGCAGTTGCAAATATAATTTATTGGCAACTGGTACAGTACCCTTCCCAGAGAGGTGCAAGTGATTATGACCATTTTGCAGAGGAGGAAATTGAGGAGCCAAATGCTTATAGACATTTGGAGGGTCTTTGCTTTGACTTTCTGTGTCCCTAGGTCTATCTGACTCTCTCTGGATTCAGAAGTTTCACAACACTGTTCTCTAGTTCCTGGGCACTCTGATATCTCTCACCATTCTCCAGAAGTGTGGTTTGCAAAATTCTGCCTGTCTGCCTTCTGATTTTCACAAGGCCTTGATCCTAACTATGATTTTAATTCTGAGACAATAGAAATGCAGAGAAGTTAGTTATTTGCTCAGTGCAATGAATTAGCAACAGGGCTGAAATAAAAGCAGAGTTCTACATTCTTGGGAATAGGATGAAATGTTATCCTATCACGCTTCTAGCAAAATGCCAAGAAATGCTTAAGGCATTTTTCACATCATGAATAAACTTTGAGAGTAGCATAAGATGTTCAAATACATAAGGAAGGCTTTTCTTGGTACAGGCATCAAAAAGGCAACTGTAAATAATGAATAACTGTGTCAACAGATTCAGAGTGCATACGTCCCACTGCTATGTTCTTTCAGATTTAGCATTGCTACAGAGTAATTATGGGGTTCTTACTATTTTGTTATCTAATTTTGCATGTGAGATACCTTTAGGCCAAAATATTTCCTTATGTCCTGATTTAATTGCCAAAATCCCAGCCATATTGTCAAATGCAAATTACATTCTATCCCATCCAGGATGTCTTTACCATGATAGGAAAGGAAATTCTCCTCAATTTTCAAATTTTGTTTTCTCTATATCTCTTGGCATGTCATGTTTAGCTGTGTAATATGTTTGTGTACATTTTTCATGTCTCTACTATATTAAAAGGACAATTGTTTTCATTTATCTTCTAATGGATCTGGTATAGTGCACCACACATAAATAATGCTCAATGTTTCACCAGTGAATAAGTGAACACATGTATTAGAGAAGTACAGTACTGGCTAAACAATATTGCTTTATCTTGCTTTTCTTTTCTAACTTTGTGTTTCCAATATAGTATCTTGAACGTATCAGATGATTAATAAATGTTTATTGATAGAATTACTTAAAATACTTGATAATGTGTATTATTTCTTTTAAAATAGGAGACATATAAGTAATATACTACTTTTCATTTCATTCATTTTTCTAAAAAGATATATGTTTTGGGAATTATTAGCTATAAATAATAAGTAGATTTTTTTTTTTTGTGAGATGGAGTCTCGCTCTGCCACCCAGGCTGGAATGCAGTGGCACAATCTCGGCTCACTGCAAGCTCCGCCTCCTGGGTTCATGCCATTCTCCTGCCTCAGCCTCCCAAGTAGCTGGGACTACAGGTGATGGCTGCCATGCCCAGCTAATTTTTTGTGTTTTTAGTAGAGATGGGGTTTCACCATGTTAGCCAGGATGGTCTTGATCTCCTGACCTTGTGATCCTCCTGCCTCGGCCTCCCAAAGTGCTGGGATTACAAGCATGAGCCACCTTGCCCAGCCAATGAGTTGATTTTGATAGGATTAAGTGCATTTTATAGTGAGGTACAGATTTGATAGTAAATTTACATAGACTTTGCACTTCAATATAACTTGGTTTAGTCCCTGGTCTTGTCATTTTCTGTGTGAATCTGGATAAGTCAGTTACACTCTCTGAAACTTAAATTCACCATCCATGAAATGGGGGTACTGGCTGGGCAGAGTGGCTCACACCTGTAATCCCAGAACTTTGGGATCACGAGGTCAGGAATTCAAGACCAGCCTGGCCAACATGGTGAAACCCTGCCTCTACTAAAAATACAAAAATTAGCCAGGTGTGATGGTAGGTGCCTGTAATCCCAGCTACTCGGGAGGCTGAGGCAGGAGAATTGCTTGAAACTGGAAGGCAGAGGTTGTAGTGAGCCGAGATCATGCCACTGCACTCCAGCCTGGGGGAAAGAGCAAATCTCCGTCTCAAAAAAAAAAAAAAAAAAGAAAAAAAAGGAAAGAAATGGGAGTACTAATATTAACCTCACAGGTTAGCTATATTAAATGAACACTTTATGCAAACAACTTAAATTATGTGCCCGGCTCACAATAAATAGTAAGTATCATTGTTCTTCCTTCCCATCCTTCTTTATTAATAACTTCATTTTCTTAAATATTAAATCTAACTAAACTATATAATGTCTTCTTTTTGATCAAAATGAAAATTAAGATAACATTTATTCTAAGAGTAATATGCACAATATAATCCAACCCGAAATGTTTTGTGAAGCTTTTGAGAATCATCTGGTAATTACTGGTGTTTTGAATGTCTTTTTCTTTTCCTTCTTCTTCTAGGAATGGTGCTTTTCTTCTTTTGAGAAATTGTCCTTCTTTGGCTCCATAGGAGATGAAAGATCATAATTCTACAACCTCCCCAATTCCTCATGCATTATCCACAGGGGCGGGCATGTTTCTAAAATAAGCCAATCGGTTTTTCTCTAGGATTTGTCAAATGTGTATTGTGATAAGAAATCTATCCTTCTCTTGGAGAGGAAATGGAGAATCTCTGAGCCTGAGTGTGGCTGACCATCATGACTTGACTTTAGAGAAAGCAAGTCTGCAACAATAAAGTAGACAGGGAAAGAAGGCCCAGTTATTCACACTCACCCCATATTTGGTAAGGCAGGTCAAAAAAATCTCTAGTTTTGGCTTACTTAGAGTGATTCTGACTTTCACATTTGCAACTAAAGTCTTACCAAATTTAAGCATATTTAAGCAGTGAGTCACCTGGGATTAGCTGTATCCTGCTCTTTCCTCCCTATTCAACCTCTAAATTTTAGCATCTGACCACAAGGTGAATTGTGGTGCCTACCAGGTGAAGCATTTAGATCTAATTACCACATAATCTACTGGTTTGTCTTTCACAGCCATACACTGTATCCTCATCTGGGTCAGGGTTTGGCAAATGCTGGGGTTTGGGGCGGGTTGGGGAGGTGCGGAGGACCAGGTGGGAGAGTGTGGCTGGGTCAGTCAACCTTTTAGCATTTTCAGGAAAAAGCCCAAAACCTCCTCTAGATTACATGCTTTGTTCTCACAGAAGCACTTTAAGTACCAGAGGAAGGTCCAGCAACTTCCTCCATTCTGTGTTATACAGTGTGTGTCAAAGTTACTTTATAAACAGATCTGGCCTGTCCTGGAGGCAGCAAGCTCTTGACCAAAATCTACTTCACCAGGTTCCTTGGGTCTAAGTTGCCTGAGACATCAAATTGAATAGGTCCTAAAAAGAATTAACAACCCTTTTATTTAGGGAAATTATATTTTTCTTTTTGGGTCAATTTCCCCCTCACTCCCCTCCCTTTCATATTCCTTTTCTTTTTCTTTCCAAATAATATTTTTAAAATGACTTTTTAAGAGTAACATTTTCCTATCACAGAAAAACTTAAAATGTAGAAAACCAAAAAAGGAAAATAAGAACTGCTTATAATACTACCACCCAGAGATAGCCCTGGTTAATTTTTGCCATATATTCTTCCAACTCTTTTTCTATGGAATAATATTTTAACATAGTTGATATGATAATGCATACTCAACATTGTGTCCTTTTTCTATTTTCATTTACTACATCTAAATATTTTCTGCTGGTCAGGTTTTCTGTTTATTTTTTGTTTTTTTTTTGAGACAGTCTTGCTCTGTTGCCTAGGCTAGAGTGCAGTGGCATAATCATGGCTCATTGCAGCTTTGACCTCCTGGGCTTAAGCGATCCTTCCACCTCAGCCTCTCGAGTAGCTGGGGTCACAGGCATGTGCCACTATGCCTGGCTAATTTTGTATTTTACTTTTTGTAGAGATGGGGTTTCCTTGTGTTACCCATGCTGGTCTTGAACTCCTGGGCTCAAGCAATCTTCCTGCCTCAGACTCCCAAAGTGCTGGGATTACAGGTGTGAGGCACTGCACCCAGCCCTAGTTAGTGTTTGAATCCCTATTTCTTTGGTGTTATAAAGCTGCCATACGTCTTAGCATTACATCTTTGATGCAGTATGTCAGAGGACATAGAGCATTCATAGCATGTAAGAAGGATTTACACCAAGGTAAAACGATAATACAGATACTTGGCTCCATTTGTCTTCCTGGATATAGCATAAATGTCAGATTGGAGATTCTATCAAGTGTATTTATAAGAGTGAAATGGGATGCTAATATGCCTAATACCCGCAAAATTGTCAGTTTCTGGGTAGAAGGAAAATCCAGAGTATAAACATTTATCATAAATATTAGTCTTTCCAGTCTTTCTATACTTCCCCAAGTTGGAAACTCATCATTATTTCTGGCAAGAGCCAATGATTATTTTTCTGCCAGACTTCCTTTGTACAACTGAGAAGATCTGTTTTGTCAAGCAAAATAGAAGCACAACATTTTGTCTATGAGGTTGAAAGTGAAAGTAGTGTTTCTCACTGTTTTAGAGGAAATGCAAAATACAAAGAAGCAGAAATTAAGAAACCATTGTTAGATAAAAGATTAGAATGCGATAAACATGTGCCAGTTTGACCACCAGTCAGATGTGACTCCTCTGTCCACTTGACCAACCAAATGGTCAACTTCTTCAGACTAGAGACTGTGGATAAAGACACTTACTTTTGGCTTTTGCCTAAGTCATCTGATTATGCTAGTGACTCCATATAACATTTGATGGCCATTTCACTTTTGAAAAAAAATCCAATCAGAAAGTCATGGTGATCTTTGAAAAAGGGTGGGGAAAACAAGGACATAATGGATACAAAGCTTATATCATTCATTTTCTAAAAATTCAATTTGAAGCTAGTGGGAAATGCAAGACTACAGAGATAAAAGCTCCATTTAATCTTAATATTTTTCAAGAAATAAATGGGGTAGAGATTTACACAGGAGTTGGCAGTTTGGAACAGAGTTGACTAGGCATAAAAGCAATAGTATTAAAAACGTTTGTTTTTATTTTGTATTTTTGAGACTGGAAACTGATAAAAATTTCTGATTAGGAAACTTTGAGAATAGAGTCTTTCTTCTTTCCAAAATAACAAATGTCTTTTAGTTTGAGAGCTCCAGCTGTGGCAACAAGAATGATAAATGCTTTTGAGAAAATTAGCAAGGTTTTGCCCCACTTAAATGGTTAACAGTAACAGCAGCACAGACCCAAACTTGATAAAACTTTGGTACTTGTTATTTGGACTAAAATTTTGTCTCACTCGATTCAGACACGTAAATGGGAGTTTTCAGTTTATCCTGCCCACTGATTCATAACTGGGAGACAGATTCATGGGAAGGCAGCATTGGACACATACTCCTTCTCTTGCTGAGAACCACCAATATAATCTAATTCTCTTTTTTTAGGTGAGAGAAGCAGAGGCCCAAAGGAATATTGCAAATACCCAAGGTCACCCTGTCAGGAGTGGCAGAATAGGGCTGGAACAAGGACTCTTTTCTCTGGACAGCTTGCACCTACAATCCTTTCCATCTTGCACCTACAATCCACTCGAACACTGCAGCATGGAGGCAGACTCCTTGCCAACGGGTATTGTCGAGAGCTTCTTCCTACCATCATTTGTGAGTTTCATCAGCTCCCAACCCTTTGTGTCTCAGCTTCTAAACTTTCTTTCTTTGACCAGAACTCAGCCATAGTAGAACTGGATTTATGGATGGAATTAGAGATATGTCTTATCTGATGTGACAACTCCAAAGAATCGGTAGTGCTTTAGAGACATCAGAAGGCTCTACAGAACTCAACAAGAGTACCATGTAAAATTCATGATGTCTGGATGTGTGAGGGATAGGGAGGCATTGCTATTTTTGACTTTGATCTATCCTTTAGGCCCAGAAAATCTTATATTTGTAGACAGAGGGGATCCAGGCACTGGAGAGTTGTTCCTCCATAGGGATGGGAGCCTAATGTTTTAAAAAGCTAACAGTGAAGAGTCTAGTGGCTTTTTATAATTTGTACTAGTCACTCTTCACTTCTGGCTCTTCACCTGCTCTGACATGATGGAAATAAAATAAGTTAGAGACAGCTGTTTTATTAGAGCTGGAAGCTCCTATTACTCCAACTACAAATGTCACTTAGGTAAGTTTTAAATGTATTTTAGGGAAATATAAGTATACTTGTAACGGTGGTTGTGATAAAGGAGGAAAGGGTAAGGGTATCCACAGTTGGCTTGAAACTATAATTTCAATGCTTATAATAATTTTTGGAAGGATTTGAAGAAATAAGTCCATTAAAGGCTCAAGTAAGATGGTAACATGCAGTACATTCATAGTTGCACTATTTGTAATAGCGCCAAAATGGAAAGTTCTCAAGTGCCCATCAACAATAGGATGAACAAATTGTAATAAGTCCCACAATAGAACATTATTCTGCAATGAGAATGAAAAGATCCACAATCAGCACAATACAGAGGAATCTCACAAATGTAAGGCTGAGAGAAAGAAGCCAGGCACAAAAGAATACATACTGATTGATTCTATCTGCATAAAAGACAAAACCAGGCAAAGCTAGTGAATGATATTAGAAGTCAGGATAGTTGTTGTTCTGGGAGTAATAAAGTGACAAGGAGGTGCTTTTAGAGCGCTGGTACTGCTCTGTTTCTTACAGGTGCTGGCTACAGGGCCATTGTTCAGTTAAAGTTAAGTTTATTGAACTGTATACTTATGCTTTATGCAATTTATGTACATATGTTATAGTATTTCTGTAACTTTTTTTTTTAAAGGCAAATGGGCATTTTTCAAGAGACAGGGAACTAATACTCATCATTTAGATAGAAATTCCCTGCTTTCATCTTTTGTTAGGAAAAATAAGAATTTTGGAAGTGCTCCTCTTTTGTAAAATCTTAATCAAGTAATGAACGAAAATAGTCAATACAACAGGAAAAGAGAGGAACAGAAGCCTCAAAAGATGAATTCCTATCAAGCAGTAAACAGTTCTTTTCCAGAACTCTTTGTGACTTATAATTCTAGAAGGTCCATCAGAGGCCTCCCATTTCTATTCAGAAATGCACTTCTAAAGTTAGACAGTTGTCACAGTCTTAGGGAGCAATGAGTTCACAATTTCAATTTATTATCAAAATATTTCCATCTGATGACAAACCTGAAAAGACAGGAGATGCAGAGCTACATAGGTGCAGATTTGCCCTTTTATCAGAGACACTCTCAGGGACAGATTTAATTTTGAAAGTCCAATTTGAAAACCACAAGTATATATATCTCTAGACAACTGTCCAATGGCAATTTTTACCCTAAAGTTTGTGCTTAAATCTTTTCATCAATATGATTTATAAGTTTAAATAGTCTCAAATTTTCATCTGTATATCGCTTTATAGATCTTGGTTCACAACTGTTTATTTTAAGCTGAAACTTCAATATTCATTGATTACCTATAATAATAGTTACTCATAAATGTAGTTAATAATTAAATATAAAAATTATTATTTTTACATTTATATAAATCTCTGAAAAATACCAAGTTTTGAGAGATAGAGCAAGAAATTGCTTAGAAAATTGCAGGAAGCCTGAAGAATCTCAGCATCAGTCAAAGCAGGTACAACAAAAAACAATTTTAGACATTCATTTTTTGCTTTAAGAGTGCTTAAAATAAATGATCACAGAATGAATAACTGATGTATGGCAAAAATGAGTTTAAAACTATGTAAGCTCCAAGGCCCCAATGTGTATAAGAATTCTTTGGAAGGATTTTGAAGGACTGTAAATGTTGCAAATAAAAGTAAAAACTAGTAGTTAGGCAATGTGTTTTAAACTATAGTGTCACCTACTGTTCTTCTGGTGCCTAACTGTATTCTTCAACATCTTCTTTTCCCTTTTGATTAGAAATCCTGGTCTACCTCAAAGGTTTTGCATTGTTTTCTAGGGACATCAGCAAACTGGTAGACCATATGAGAAACAGAAATAAACAGTAATATTATCTTTAGAAATTAAGCATTATGTACACAGTGAGAAATGATTGACTTGATAGACCTTAGACCCCCTTCCTCCCTCCACACCCTTTCTAGGACAACCTAATGTTATCTGTATTGTGATGGTGCCCTCTCTGTTAATCACCCTCAAGTCAGTACAGTGACCCCTAGGGCCCATTTTCTTTCGATTAGAGAATTCCCCATTTCTGTGGTGTTGGCAAGTCTAGCCAAGGGCTGCAATGCTTCTTTTGAAGATCACCAAACCCGGCACTTCTTTTCTGGATTCATGTATGAATTCTTGCGGCAGTGAAAGGCTTCTGAAAACTCTGCAGAGTTCTGCAAAGTCCCAATAATCCTTTGAAACAAACAAAAAAAGTCACCGTCAGCATTTGATACTCACGTCCATACCACACTGGAGCCCTGAAGCATTTCCCTCTGCAGGTCAAGTGAATGAATTTGGAATTTAAAGTTAAACTTAAAATAACCTGGTACAATGAGTCAGTGCCTTCTCATTAACAGAATTTTTAAATGGAGAAGTAACAAAGAACAGGAGTTAAAAGCAATTTGGGAGACAGACTACATGGCTTGAATCCTGCTTATGAAGCTTCTTTGTGCCTTGGTTTCTGCACAATAGAACATGCATCTTAAGGTTGTCATGGAGAGTTAATAATTTATAAGCATTATATGTGTTTGTAAAACATGAATAATTCACATTTGAAAATGCAGGTATTTGGAGTTGTATTATAATAAGAGTTTGGTCAAAGAATATAATCATGATTTCTCACTATGTCTTGAAAGGGCTCACATAATGACTTAAATATAATAGACTTTAAATAGATATTTTTTGTTGCTTTTATAGAGGATTATTTTCCTTTTTTCCAAAAGGGCTCCTTAAATATCAGAAGCTGGATTCAGCTTGAATAACTGGAAAGGGCTGGCAAAATGCCATTTTCCTCTTATCTCTGACCCCAGTGGGCAAAAACAACACAGTCCAACTCACTATCTGCACCTAGCAGTGTTTGAGGGGAGAGATGGGTCAGTACATTGATGCAGAGGTGATGTTTTCACACCCACCCTGAACCCTGAACCACCTCCTTCCCTTCTCCTCCTGCTAAGGCCAGCCTACCACGTTTGCTTGGGTTGGGAGGAGGGGCCCAGAGACAAGTGGACTGGTTTGGAAGGACTAGGCACAAATGACAGGTGAGTCCATTTTGATTTATGGAATTCTCCCTACGTGGCAGGTGTACTACTGTGTGTACATCTTAGGACTTCTCTCTCCTCCAACCATTCTCCACACCACAGTCAGAATGATCTGTAAAATTTAAATCAGATTCCATAATCTCAGATTTAAAACCTTCCATGGACTTGAAGGAAATCTAAACTCCTGTCCATGGCTTCCAATGTCCTCCTGATGGCTCCAGTCTCCTCTCTAGCCTCCTCGTGGTACATTTCTCTTCCTGTTCCTCCTTAGGCTCAAACTATGCTGACCTACCTTCAGTTCCTCAAACCAGCCAAACCCTGTCCCTCTTCAGAGCTTCCTGCTACCTGCAGACCCTACTCCCTGGAAAGTTACTCACCAGTCAGTACATGGCTAACTCCTCAGCCTTCATGCCTTTGCTTAAATATTCCTTCCTTGGCCCCCTTCTTTGAATGCCATCTAAACTAACTCCTCTTACAGGGACTATCCCTATCAAAGCACTTACCACATTTACAATGATTTGTTCTCCTTTTTTACTTCCTGACACACCCACTAGACTAATTTCTATGAGGGCAAAATACAGCCTTTGTATCCTTGAGTTCCACATCTGTGGATTCAACCAAATGCGGCTGAACATATGTGGGGGAAATATTTTGTCTACTGAACGTATGGACTTACTTTTCTTATCATTAATCCCTAAAGAATACAGTATAACAAATATTTACATAGCATTTACATTGTATTAGGTATTATAAGTAATCTAGAGGTGACAAAGTATAGGAGGGAGAAGGTGTATAGGTTATATGCAAATACTACACCATTTATATCAAGGAGTTGAGCATCCACAAATTTTGATATCTGCAGGGAGCCTGGAACCAAACCCCCACAGATGCTGAGGGAAGATGCTGTACTGTGTATGTCTTGCTCACTGCTGCACCCCCAAAGTCCAGCACAGGACTCAGTACATACTGAATGAATTAACCTGTGACCTGGTTGGTCACAGTGATTACCTGTAGAGAAGCAATAGGGTATTAGGAAGAAAAACACGACTTAGTGTTTCTGTTGTTTGTTTGATATTATGGACCAACTGGAAGAGAAAGAAAGCATTTTCTTTCCCTTTCCTCATTCCAGAAAAGAGAGATCCATATGGATTTTTTGTAAGTCTGACTTTCTAATATGTCACCCATCAACGCATCAACTAACTTCTCTATCCCTCTCCACCACAACTCTCCTATCTTTCATGGAGGATGTAATCTTTTCTGGTTGTTTGTTTTTTAGGATTCCTAGATGAGTCTTAAAGACGAAAAATAATCTCCTGGTGTGGGAGGGTTGAGGTGAAGTGGAGTCAGAAGCTGGGGAATTTATATATTAGTCCACTTGTCAGGGAGATGATTGGCCTTCCCAAGAATGGGGTAGGTTCCAGTAATGGCAGGTTGTGTGAATGACAAGAAGATGCTTCCTGCTCTGAGCAAGGCCCCGAGAGGCCCTCTGATAGCATGGCGTGTGGTTGTTGGAGAACCTGGACATGAAGAGTGGAGGCTCTGGAGCTCATGAGCATTGGAAGGAAATGGAACCACTGACTCCAGCTGGAGCATTTGGACTGTAGGGATCTCAGCAGTGACCACGGTGGGCTGAAGATGGAGGCTATTCTCTAATTTCTATGCCTGTGTGATGATATCAGATTCCTGAATAACCCTGAAAGAGTACGTTGAAAAACCACTGAAAGTAAATGGCTCATCTCCTAGCTTGGTCTAAGAGCTCAGAGTTTGGCTTAATTTGATTGAAAAAAACAAATGTCCATTTCTTACATCTGAAATATTGAAAAACAAATTCACTATTTGGACCATGTGAGAGTACAAGGAGAAGTCTGCAGTCTGCAAACCAGAAGATGGCCCTCACCAGAACCTGATCATGCTGGCACCCTGATCTTAGACTTCCGGTCTCCAGAACTGTGAGAAACAAATTTCCATTGTTCATGAGCCAAAAAAAAATCACTTCTATAATGTAGTCAAAAGTGACTGTTTATGTAGGAATTAAAAGAGCTTAGAAATTAGGAATTTGCATTGGTCTTTAGTCTTTCAGGTTGCGGGACTCAAGGATTCTTTATGTTAGAGAGGAGCTTTGATTCATTAATGCAACCTTCTTCCCAATTCAGGATGCCTAGCTACTGGCTAAAGACAGTCATCCTGTCATCCTGGGCATTCCTCACACTAGGGAGCAAGCTCCCTGGTTGACAGGGTAAGCCATCAGCATCACTGACTGGAAGAGCTGCATGTTTTTGTTTTTATTTTATTAATTTTTTCCAAAGGATTTTTTCTTAGATTTTATCATATGGGAACAAGTACTTCGGTAATAATGTCCAAACCCACGACTTAATTCTATATTTTTCTTAAAAAGTATTTTTAGGATTTATATTTATAAATCTCAAAATTAAGTTAAAACAACAAACAAAAAACACCTAAAAGAAAGAAACGTCTTCAGATAACACCGCAGAGAGTGGGCACTGCAGAAATACTCAGCCTGGTGTGCACTCAGCTCTCCATGCCCATTCTGCCCATCCTCTTTCCATCCAAAGACTCTACCTAATTTGATCCTGAATAGATCAACAACACACTAGGGCTTCACTTACTTTCTTAGTTAACATTTGGTGTTTATGACATCAAATCTTTGAATAGATCATCTATTTTTTCTGAGACAGGGTCTCGCTCTGTCACTCAGGTTGGAGTGTAGAGGCACGATCACAGCTCACTGCAGCCTTGACCTCCTGGGTTCAAGCAATCCTCCTGCCTCAGCCTCCCAAGTAGCTGGAACTACAGGCATGTACCAGCATGCCTGGGTAATTTTTTTGTTTTTAATAGAGACGAGGTCCCACTATGTCACCCAAGCTGGTCTTGAACTCCTGAGCTCAAGTGATCCTCCCTCCTTGGCCTCCCAAAGTGCTGGAATTAACAAGTGTGAGTGACTGTGCCAGGCCTAGATAATCTATTTTGAAAAGTGAATCCATTATTAATAAAACACTTTTTTTCTAAGAGTGAGATCACATTACATGAATTATCCTCTGTTATTAGAAGATATGTACATGATTTTCATGCTTTACAAAACTGTGTGCTTGTGTTTCTAATAACAGAAGATAATAAAGCTTTTATTAATTATTTCTTAAGGTGATTTACTTGAAATTTTTACTTTATTATGTAAAATAACTTATTGTACTGCTGATGTTTATTCCCTTGGCAAACAGTTACTTGCATTAAAAACATCTAAGAGATTTGGCATTGGGACCAAGAATGGACTTTATATCCTATCTGACTATTCCTGCCTACTACAATTGGACTTCTGAATTACTGTTTGCAATTAATGGGTCCTCAGACAACCTTTTGTTAATTCTTGTAAATGAATGACTTGGCTACATAGTTAACTGCCTTCATTCAGGAATAAGGTATCCAATCTTCATCATTAACTAATTTTTATGATTCTTTCAAAGCAAAGTCATATTGATGAGTGTATGTTCTGCTATACAGTCATAAATAAATAAATGCTGTAATAGATTTCTAGTTATCAGCTAAAGATTGGAGGGGCTAACAGAAATTCTGCAAAACTCACTAAAATCTATATTGATATCTATAAATATCAGGAACCAATGCTAATATTGAAGGGAAATGGAAGAAACAGAAGAATTTCAAAGAGGGCTTATTAGCATGCTAAATTACAGAGTTATGAAGGAACAAAATAGCCATATTAGTTGACATGTCTATATAAAACACTAGACAAAATATTCCTTCAAAATATTAGAAATTAAGCTGTGAGAAACATTTCTTGCTTTGATAGTGGTGTCAGTTCTAAAAGTGCCCTTTCTTCCTGACTGGAAGATAATGTTGAGTAATCTAAGCACCTAAATCATTTTGTCTATTTGGACTTGCTTTACAAAATTATCAGACCCTTACATATTATATAGAAAATTACAGCTAAATAATTTTAGAAACATATTTATAGATTACATATAAATATTATAATAAATATTCCCTGAAATGACTATAGATGGCTAACCAAAAACTGGATTTCCAAAATGAAGTCAATATTTAAATTATAGATTCAATTTCTAGACTATTAAAAGAAGAATGTTTTTGGATTAAATACCATTTAAATTTAACAAAATGTTTTCTGAGCTAATCAAAATGGAGGAATTAGGGAACTAAAGGCAGGCAATACAATAATAGGAAAGAAAACTAGGAAAGAAACAAACACACAGAAAAACCCTAATAAAAACCCAAAATAAGTCAAAAAGCATCACAATTGGTATAAGAATAAATAGCTCCACAGACTAAATTAATAAACAGTAAAACCATAACTAATAATCATAAAGTAGTCTGTGTCATCAAAATTTTAAAAAAGGTTAGGCTTTTTTTTTCAGGATATTGTTTTAAGGCAGGAAGGTAGAAATGTGTTTTTAATAGATAATTTTTAATCCAGTGGTTAAGATAAAAATGTTAATACTTAAAAGAGACAAACTTTACCTATCAAAACTTAATTTGCAACCTCTCATTCTCTGAGGATGGTAGATATACTAGGTATTACAATAATATTACTGAAATTCACCTAGGTTTTTATGACTTATGTTTTAGTTTATGGAGATATGCAGGGCAAACCCTTGACAAATTAGGTTGCATGGTGGTTTTTATGAGCTTATAAATGCTAGCTGCTATCCTTAGAATTAGATTCTTATACCTTAACTTCTAAAGTTTATTTTAAAGTACATAAATAAAGCTTTAGTCAGGAAGAATAAAACAACAATAGGTTAGACATAGCAAATATGGTTTTATGATGCAGCTTTGTATCAAGTGTATTTTGCCTTTTGTTTTAATACTATGGCTATTTAAACATAAGGTTACAAATCTCTCTCTAATTCAGAAATATTTCTATATAACCACCAAGCACAATTCTTAAATAGCAACTCGATATCTATTAATTTTTAAAGTTTTTTTAAAAAATATGTTTTACTTTGTACAGCCAGGAAGTGGCCTGTTTCCAAAACTAAATGTAAGCTCAACCTTTTGCCAAGAAAATCTCCTTACCTCCAGAGAAAACAATAATTTCCTTGACAAAAGGTTGGCATTCCATTTACCCATTCCATTTACCCTTCACACACACACACACACACACACACACACACACACACACACACACACACACACACGCTTCTGTTGTTATGAATGAAAAATAGTCGATGAGGGATCTTTGGAACCAGAACAACAATAAAGACTTAAAGATACAAATAATTTAACTAATTTATAGCAAAATATTGTTTTCAGTTTAAAATTGGAGCTAGAAAACAGTTATATACTTATGTACGTTTTACTTAACTGCTGATCAGTTACTAACATTCTGAAATGTGCAGAACATAAGAAATGAGCACCAAAAAAGCCTTGACTGATAGGGAACTATTACAAAATGCATAAGAATTCTTATTCTGTTCATACCTCTTGTCTACAAATAATCCTAGTATGGACTTTCAAACACACACACACAAAATAGGCTCTTCATTTATATTAACGTTAATCCTCTAGCAACTCTCATGATAATTTAATCCTTATTTTACATATCAAGAAACTGAGGTACAGAGGTTACATTAACAGCTAGTAAATGGTGAAGCCATGGTTGGAACTCAAGTGTTTCTTACCTCAAAGCTTAAGTTCACTTTAGTAAGGAAAAAGACAACTTTAAAAAAATTAAAACTAAAAGTTTTTTGAATAAACCACAATGGGAATTAATCCAGTCACTTTTGTTGCTCATTACCTATAAAGCAGTTAATTTGAATATCTTAGCAGAACTAAATTTAGCTTGGATTACAGAGATAATAGGCATACCATAAGCAGTTATTGAGTGAATGAATATTGAAAGAAATGTTAGGGCAAATACTAGATGATGATGATGATGATGATGATGATGACAACGATGATACTAGCAAGCTGAATAAATTCTTTAATTTTTAAATGAACTACTTTATTGCTTCATAATTAAATGTGTTTTTCTCCATAATCGAATGTGTTTTTTCCCAGGAGTAAATGATCTGGGCAGTATGCTTACATTCATTTTATGTAGAGCTTTTGAAATTTAGCCCATTAGTTCTCTTTTGTTCTCAAATTTCATTTTCCAACTACCCTACAAAATTTTTAGGTTTTTTTTTTTAACTTTCTTGCCTGAGAGGTGTTGTTGATCAGCAAATGAGTGACTAAGTGTTCTAGTACATGGGAAAGGGGTAGCATTAGGAATTCAGTTCTTAAACAAATACATAGGATCTATGATTTAACATTCAAATGTTGGTTGGAGTGACTCTCTTCAATCATTGTTCTCTTTGATTTTCTAATTTGGGAAGAACTTTAACTTCTTCTAGCTCAGTTTTCTACTCTGTAGAGCATTTTTCTCTCACATCCTTGATGGGCTGTGCTTCAATGTACTCTCTCCTGAAGCTTTGGGAATAATGTTATTCCATATTGAAGAACCTCTAATTAGTAGAAAGTTTCCTTTATATTGAAATTTTTCTTTGCAAGTTGGAGCTCATTGGGTCTGGGCCTAAACCATTCACAGCCTCTTAGAAATATCTTTGTTCTAGCTTTAAATTGAGCCACTGTTCTGAGGCGACATCTTTGTTGGAATAGATCAAGCCCTGAGCCTCGTAGATTCTAAGGAATTATAATTATTGTAGATTCTAAGAAAGAGAGTGGCCAAGGCTATGCTTATGTAGAATGCTCCGATGTGTTCTCTCGATCCTACCTTTGACTCTCAAAAAAAAAAAAAAGCACTGAATTTCCAAATGTAAAAGAATCAGAGTTAGAAAAGTCTAAATTCCAAATGTGGAAGCAATGGACCCAATATAAGAGCACCTTGATTGCTGTTCATATCCACGCACCTGAAATTGCCTGGACTGTGCACATCTGTTTTAATGGAGTTAACCGCATACTCTGGCCTATAGGTTCCACACCACACCTAGAGATAGGAATAGGAAAAGCAAAGCATGTACTCAGGTTCAATCAAGGATTATTTGTTTGAGCAAGTTGAGGGGAAGGAGAAAAATTAAATTGGAATTCTGCATTCCTCAACCATTCGCTCTTCAAATAATGTTCAATGAAAGGCAACCAGGAACATAGTTATTTATCATTAATATGATCCAACAGTCTATTATAAACAATGAAAGTGAATCAAGTCAAATGCTCTGTAAAACAAGGGAACTCAGCATGTGACATCTAACTTACTGTGAAATTATAACTCAAAATGGTTTTCATATCTATCAATCAAGAAAGACACAATACCTGTGCAAAGTTCAAGAAAAATAGTTGTTTGTGATTTAGGTCAAGTCCAGGAAGTAATTTTTCTTCGCCATTCTTTTTAATATAATTCTGATAGGCCTAGGCAGTTGATAAAATAGAAAAACAATAATATTAATTCCTAAGGTTATATATAAACCTATGTAAAAGATCATGCCACCAAGTAATTAACATTTTATGTTAAAATCACCCTGATAATACATTTAGTTATGGTAACCTACAACTATTTTATGGATTAGAAAGACAAATCAAATTTATTTACAAATGCTTTGAAAAGAAGAAGCTACTGAATAGTAGATGACAAGAGCCTGGCATATGTCAAGTGATCAATAAATGTCAACTGAATGAATGGATGACCTAAATAAGTGATGAAAAACTTATCTAAATGTTGTTTTATAAATTGATGAATAAGACCAGTCAGGACAAATGAATTGCCAAGGAAGTCTGCAATTGCTACATTTAACTTAGTTACTACTATCTTAGCAAAATAGACTCACCAGACTAAGATCGAGTGATTCTTGCCAAGTCAAAGGATTCTCTTGAGATCCCTTAGAGGCCTAGTCTCCAATGAGTCTGAGGATAATAAAATGCAACTATTCTGGTCTTTTGAAGACAGGACAAAATGGACTGAGCCTCAGGTACATTTGAAGGAAAATATTTAGGTAATTTGAATGTCAGAAAATCCTCTTAATTCTTAAAGATTTATGCTACTGAAAAAAATGAGTTTTCCTCTACTAAATAAACTTTTAAAACGAATTCATAATAAACGTTCTGAGATGTGTCATTTCCAATTTAATACAAAGGAATGTGACCAACTAGATGAGCAGAAAATATATTTCATTTCTTCCACTTACCGTCAACATAGACTTATTGAACCTCTACTATGTAAAGATGCTGGGGATATGGGAAAGGCTTGCACCTGCTCCCTCTTAGAGAGCTCGCAATCTAGCAGGGGGGCAAGGCATTACACGTTAAGAATTTACATATTTTCAAAGTGTAATAAAATATTTGCACAATTGTAATTTGCTTCATCATTAACAATTCTGTACTTGCTCTAGGTGAGGTTCTCCATGGGAGTACTATCAATCCCAACTTTGGCTGGATTTTATAGCAGTGATTCTCAATCTGGCTGTGTATTAGAATCACCATGGGAATATTGAGTGCCAATGCCTTCCACTTTCAGCCAAGATGGAATGATAGGGACTGGATTTAACTTCTTGTGGAAACAACTAAATGATGAACAAAATATTTAAAACAATGGTTTGCATAACACTGAACATCAGGCAAAAGGAGAATGACCCCTGAGAGATGTTAAACTTTACTCTCAGTGAGTCCCATGACTGCTGAGCTTATTGTCCTGAGAGTTTTCAGGCCATATCATAGGAGCAAACCAGTCAGAGCTGGGGGTACTCCTTGAGTTGAGGATAAGGAGCTGAGAGTTCAGGGACACCAAGAACAGGTTACTAAAGAGGAGAAAGCTACACAAAAAGAGAACCTCAGAGATTACAGATGGTCATCCTCAAGCATTCAGCTTAGTCTTGATCTGAAGATGTGTGTGAGCAAAATACCCAATGCTAGGAAAACAATATCTCAAAAGGATTAGAGATAATAATTTATGGTACTTACACAGGACAAGAATGGAAATCCCCAAGATTCACAGAGTAGATTCTTATCTCAGCAGTTGAGAATAATGTCCCTAGACTGAACACTGTCCCCATCCCAACCAATAAAAGTTACAAAAGGAAGACCCAAAAAGATCAAACCATTTTCAAGGAATTTAACTGTATCCTAGAATAAAGCTCAAGAATATTTACAGGAACAAAAGAACATCCAGACCCAAAGAGGTAAAATGCGGTCAGGCACAGTGGCTCACACCTGTGTTCCCAGCACTTTAGGAGGCCAAGGCAGGTGGATCGCTTGATGTCAGGAGTTTGAGACCAGCCTGGCCAACATGGCGAAATCCCATCTCTACTACAAATACAAAAATTAGCCAGGTGTGGTGGCACATGCCTGTAATCCCAATTCTTGGGAGGCTGAGGCAGGAGAATTGCTTGAACCCAGGAGGTAGAGGCTGCAGTGAGCCGAGTTCGTGCCACTGCATTCCAGCCTGGGCGACAGAATGAGACTCCATCTCAAAAAAAAGAGGTAAAATGCATAATGTCTGGCATCGAACAAAAAAATTACTAAACATTCAAAGTAGCAGCAATCTCCCATGTCCCTGGAACTGGTTGGACTCATTCTTTTGGAAACCTTGTAGCTGACTTAATCTCCCAAGCTTCACACTCTGATCATCTTTGGTCACTGACAAACTGCAGGCCCCATCAGTCACCTCTTTCTCCACTTCTCTGGTGCTTCCTCTTCCCTGATCCAACCATTGATGTTCACCTCCTCCACTCTAATCCAAACATTTCTATAATGAACAAATGATTCTACATCCTCATTCACTCCACTGATCATTCCATCCATCCTTGTCTTAGAGAAGCCTAGTTCTAGCCTAGGAACAAGTTGTTCCTTGTGACATCTCAAGTAGATGCTGCTCTTTCTCCTACATATGGGCTACTTCATAGTTGAGAAAAACACTCAAAATCATCTTCATTCCTTTTTGTTGCTTCCTAGACCATCATTCCTCCACCCTTTTATGAAATTCCCTGCTTTTTCTTATGCACATGGCATCCACCAGACTATTTTTTAACCCTTGCTCAGATCCTCAAATAATGACCTTTCATAAAGCATTCATTGCTTTATCTCCAGCTCTTTGAATACTGCCAAACCTATTAAGCCTCAATGAATATGTATTGAATGCAAGAATGAATGGAAGGCTAAATGGGATTCTAACGGATGCTCCACTGTTAATAGTCCTCTGTGTATAATAGTGTGGTTGACTACAAGGCCATGTGCTGGAACCATATCACGTCAGTCCCTTACTGTATCATATATGAACTATGGTTTAATATGCCTGTGGTTTACATTGATTTTTGTTCCCAAATGCTACTTCACCTGCTACAAAACTGAAGGTCCTGTTTCTTATATTGGTCAAAGACCCTGAAATAATCCTTCTTATGGGACATTTCTTCTAAAAAAATTATTCCAGAGATTATTTCTTAGAAAAATGTTGCCTCCTTTGTGAACCTGCTCTCTCCTCATTTCAGCTGATATAATATTCCATATTTTCTCTTCTTCTTGGCTCTTTGCAAACTTAAGTGTTCAGCTCCGTCACATCAATGTATTGACCCTTATGGTTAGCATATTCACCACTCTTTCTTCTCATATTTTTTTCCATTTTCTATTCATCATTTACTGCTTATATGAGTTTCTTTTTTTGCAAAAGGTTTTAAATGAATTATTAAATATGAGAAACACTCTAAATCACTAAAATGGAAAGAAAATCTTTTTTACTTACTCTGTATGCTTGACCAAGACCTCCATTATCAGCAATGTTTTCTCCCAGTGTATTAATTCCATTAAGCTGTTAAAAAAGACACTTTATTAGGATTGTTAAAAAAAGAAACCACCAATAATACACTTAAGATTGAACATGTCTAAAACTTTTCAAGAGAATGCTAATGACATACGTGCTGTCCACCTGCCAGGTCCCAGGAAAAGTTTCCATACTGATACACCATGCACTGGGATTGCTCCTTAAAGTTACTTGCAGACTGTTGAGTCCACCAGTCAACGAGGTCTCCATCTTTGTTAAAGTTTCTGCCTATAATATATTTATTTAAGTAAAATGGGAACTCATTGCAACAAGAATTATAAGATATGTTTAATTCAAAGTGCAAGGACTGAAATACTGCTGTGTGACAGAACATTAAATTAGGCAGACGATGAGAGAGACTGTCATCCCTCCTCATCACAGAGTTGGCAAAGCCTGGACTGCCAGAGCTTTCTTTGCTAATGCTTCTCAGCATTGACCCAGACATTTCACCCATTTGGCTCTTGATATCTCAGAAGAGGCCGCCAGACAAAATATTCTTGAAGTTATGCCTTGTTCTGTTGAATGGTTTTTACCTGACCCAAGTCTGTTTAGTTTGATATTTTGAGATTTTTAAAATGGCCAACATTTTTATTCTGGCATTTTTATATTCCTGGACCCTTCATAGGACACTGTGGACTCATAGTTTCCCTCTACTTCAAGCACACAAAAAAAGTCTTTTTCTCCTACAGCTTCCTTGCCAACCACAAACTACATCGATCTTTCTCCCTTTTGAGCTCCAATTGCATTTATATGTATCATGTGTTTTGACACAATATTACCATCTTTTTCATATTTGCCTATGACGTAGTGATTAAGAAAAGGGCTATGTAGCCAACCTACTTGAATTCACCTTCTGGTTCTACCAGTTCCTATCTTTGTTACCTTTGGGCAAATCTTTCATGTGTTTTTATTTTTTTCCACTTGGAAAACAGAAACAGTATTAGAACCTACCTGTAAAGACTGTTGCATAGTTTGAGTTAATAGACACTTAGTAAGTCTTTTTAAGAATTCTAACATTTCTGTCTCTTTTTCTTTCTCTGGCTCTCTAAAATGGGGATTAAGTATTTTCTCTCTATTGTTCTCTACTTTCCATTTGTGAATGAAATTTGTCATAGATTGAACTATCACCTCTTTACATATTTCACGTCTTTATTCCTCTCAGGAATTCAGCTTTGATTGAAACTCTAAATTGATTTTTCCATTTAGGGTGGCATTTAAGTGCCTAACTGTTTGCAAAGACTTGAACTAGGTAGTAGGTACAAGACGAAAAAAAAAAGGTCTCTTAAGCAGCTTAAGAGTCTTTTGAGCTCTTGGAGAGGCAATATTTTCTGATTTTACATCTGATTTTAAGACATAGACATGCAGCCTGTCCTTTAAGAGTATGACAAGATACGTCATATACAACCAGGAAACTAAGACCTAGTATTATCACTGCCGCTGACAAACACCATAGTATTTTCCCAATGGGAATATTTACTTCATTCTGCCAGAGTGTAAAGCACACATTGCTTAACTCACTATGAGAATTTTCTGATCTCTTTAAGCAACAATTTAAAGGGAAAATTGAAAGTGTGGTGAAAATTAGAGAAATGATACATGTTTGAATAAATGTAGCTTTGTAGTAATAAATTATAATAACTCTTAATCAAATTTATGAGCATATACCTCAGCCAAAGGAAAATGTCAACTGCACTTTACCATTGTCATCGAAGCCATGGGTGATTTCGTGTCCTATGACCATGCCGATGCCCCCATAGTTCAATGAGTTGGACTGCTGGGCACTAAAGAAGGGGGGCTGCAGAATGCCGGCTGGGAAGACTACAAGGAGAGAAGATAGTTAGAGATTATTTGTGGCATAAGTTTTTAAAATTTTTATTTTCTTAGAGACAGTCCTCCCTCCTCAGGAGTAGCTGGGACTACAGGCGCATGCCACCATGGCATTATTCAGTGATGGCAGGCTTGGGGTTGGCTTTGTGCTTGCTAAGCTGCTGTTCACTATGTCAGTTTCACTTAGTTATATACAAAAACCTTCTGTAATAGAAACCAATGCAGGCATTTTATTATGGATGACAACAGAGTTCACCTTGGAGTGGTGCTATAAACTATGATTTATCATCACGATTCACTTTACAATCCAAGATTGTTTTGTGCTGTAAGGAGTTTGAAGCAAAGGGAAGTTATAACCTTCATTCAGAAGGTCCTTTCTGCCTTATAAATATTTGGAAGAAATAGTTACTCAGTAACACCAATATTATTTTTAATGTTATTGCAGAAATTGTATCCATCTACAATAATATCTTAAATAAGTATTGCCACTCAATTGAAGGTATACCTCAATCACATAACCTTACCTTATTTTCATCAAGGCACTTATGACTACCTCATATTCTATTTATTTCTTTATGATCACAGTCCTTCCTTTTCTTGTCTGCCCTAATCCTACCCCAGCTCCTCAAATATTAGCCCTTTGAGAGCAGAGATTTCTGTGTCTGTACATATATTTGTTTATTTTTTAATTTCATACATTTTTCTAGTTCATTATCTAAATGCCTAAAATTGAACAATGCCTAAAACTAGAATAGTACCTGGAACATAATCAGGGCTCAGGAAATGTGCTGAATCAATGAATAATCAATGATAAATAAATGAATGATCACCCTAACTTACTAATGTGTCCTACAGAGTTTAGTGAATAAATAAATGAATTGTAGTTTTCAGTATGTCTACTCTGACATCTGCATTAACTTGCTAACTTTCTCCATTCAGATGTCTCACAAATGTGTTATATTTAATGCATCAAACATCAAATTCATTTTCCCCTCTAGGCCCTCAGTCTTTGTATTATTTCTGCTAATGGCCCTTGAAGGGTCTCTATCAGCAAAAGTAAATGTTTCTACTTATCTTAGATGCCTCCTTTCTTTTACAGTCTTTTACAAGTCTGCTTAGGCAGAGGCTGGGTGAGGTAGCTTTCAGGAGCATCTTTATCTTCTCCTGTCAGTATTACTGTTTACACATACTCTCATTCCTTGTCTCAGGAATGACTTAATTTCCTAATCAGTCTCCCACTTTCTGTCTCACACAACTACAATCTATTCTAAATCTAATCTACTCTCTGAATCTATCCTGTAGCCAGATTAAAGACAACTCTGGGCATCATCATTCTCCTGCTAAAAATCTTTGGAAGGCTTACCATTGCTCTCTAGCTAAACACATCTTTCTGGCCTATGGCCCCAGGGTCCTCTCCCACCTCTCCACCTCCATCATACCCTCCCCTTCCCTGCCCCATTCCAGTATCCTCTTATAATATATACTCTCATGAAATATATTTCACTATTTCTGAAATATACTAATAATGTGTCTTAAATACTAATAAAAGATGGAGAGTATCTTCCCTTGGAATATATTTCCCCTGTTTAATCAAATTTTGGGTCATGTTATTTGGAGGTAACTAATCTTTGACCTTAGAAAGAAATTAAAATTAAATTAATTAAATGTTCATAGTTTAGTAATTCTATCTTTAATGGCTTAAAACTCTAGCATCCACTGAATAACTGAAACGTTACTTTCTGTAATTAAAAAAAAACCCTTCAGTATCAATACCTATTAAGTGCAAAGCCCTGGGTCATTGCTATGCAGGACATTAAGAAAATAAAACAAGGGCCCTGACCTTAAGAAATTTAAGATCTAGTTAACACAGAGTAGCACATGTTATTTCTTTGTCTTTCAGGTGGGCTGAACACAGTATAACCTTGCATGGGCTTCAGGGATAAATATTAGATATTTACAGAGAAGACTTCAAAAAGCATCTGAGCAATTTAATTGCTCCCCAGACCTCTACAAAAATTTGGAAAGTTGCCATAACATTCAAATGACACGACAACAAAAAAGTACTTTTGTCTTTAGAGAATTTTTATGAAAGTTATACCTCACGTGTAGCAGCCTGAGCTAAATGGAGCCATGAACTTATTTTTACCTTAAAGTATAAAAATTATGTGCAGTACTTTATTAAGTTAAAGTGAATACTATCTCCCACACTATGTACTTTGATTAAAATCCACCCATTATATAAAATGCTGTTATGAAATGTGCTATCAAGACTAAATATTAACTACAAAGATCCTGCTGCTTTAATCATACCCTGATATGCCATTCTTCAGGCAAGTGATAAGATTTTATGGTTCTTATTAAATATTAGTCTTCAAGTTCAACTTTGCTAATTATGACCTCCCCTTTTACTTTGTCAGCTAAATCTCTGTAAGGAGGATTTTCCCCACTAGCCTTATTGCTGTTACCTAGTAGGCATCACAACTGTTGTTTATAACCAACTGCTTAGTTGTGCATTTTTTATGTTCATGATTGTCAACAAGTTAGTTAATTAAATAAGTCATTGGGCCATGAAGCAAAAGACCATGTCTCCTCTTCCCCCTGTTTTTGCCTCCCCAGCACAACTTCTGTGGTTTATTTTCTGAAGGCTGCTAGCAATTCAATTTTAGAATATTTCATATGTAGCCTAAGGCAGCAATTAAGTAATTTTTTTGGTGGAAAATAATTAAACATTCTTTTTTTTTTTTTTTTTGAAACAGGGTCTTACTCTGTCACCCAGGCTGAAGTGCAGTGGTGTGACCTCAGCTTACTGCAACCTCCACCTTTCAGGCTCAGGAAATCCTCCCACCTCAGCCTCTCAAGTAGCTGAGACCACAGGCATGCACCACCATGCCCAGTTAATTTTTTGTAGTTTTTGGTAGAGATGGGGTTTTACAGTGTTGCCCAGGCTGGTATCAACTCCTGAGCTCAAGTAATCAGCCTACCTCAGCTTTCCAAACTACTGGGATTACAGGCATGAGCCACCATGCATAGTCTAAACATTCTTTTTATATTAAATGGAGTAACAATATGTTTGGAAACAGTCTTAATTTTCAAGTCTGAAAATAAAACTCCTAAGAATAAATAAGGCAATTTAGAAAATTTAACTATCTCAAGGTATTTATAGTCGACACAGACTGAACACACTGAAGAACTTACACATTTGAGAAATTAAAAAAATTGATTTAAAAGATCCTTTCTGCAATTTTAATGAAAAAGGAGAATACACTAAATTATTTCCTTGACTGCGATTTTAAGGTTTAATAAGATGACTGAACAGCACCTAGAACTTACAGAGAACCATATGACAAAACATTGAAGCGCAGCTTTCCTAATGTCATGGCACAGGGGCCTTCTAGAGCTCCATGAAGTAAACATGCAAGGAAGAGGAACAGTGGATTAAGCACTTTTAGTTTGCCTTCTTTCTTGGAAATTGACTTTTTTGTTGATATGAAGAGTAGGAATGCATACAAATTGGAATGTAGCCTACATGTGTGAGTTCTAACAAAATGGTGAAAACTGAATTAAGAAGTAGAAATTATTGATATGAGTAAGTCTCTATATAACAAAACAAGTTCTTTTTTTAACATAACAACATAAAATGACCAATCCCGTGAGAAAGTGTATGCAGTCTAATTTGGAGTATTTGTATGTCTATGTGTGTGTATGGAGGGAGGGGCTCACTTACGTGGCACATATTACTCTATACCAACCCTAATTTTATAATGGACATTATCCCAAATCCATTAAGACAGTGTTGCAGAAGACATGTATATAGGTAGGTATGTGTGTATTTATATACACATACACATTTCTTTTTCTTTCTTTTTTTTTTTTTTTTTTTGAGACAGAGTTTTGTTTTGTCACCCAGGCTGGAGTACAGTGGCATGATCTCAGCTCATTGCAACCTCTGCCTCCTGGGTTCAAGCGATTCTCGTGCCTCAGCCTTCCGAGTAGCTGGGATTACAGGCACCCACCACCACACTGGGCTAATTTTTGTATTTTTAGTAGAGATGGGGTTTCACCATGTTGGCCAGGCTGGTCTCGAACTCTTGACCTCAGGTGATCCACCCACCTTAGCCTCCCAAAGTGCTGAGATTACAGACATGAGCCACCACACCCAGCCCACATAAACATTCCTATCAAGAAAAAAGATGGAGATTTGACTCTTCAACTATTTTTAGTTAAGACAATCCCCACTTTGAAGATTTAAATTGTGAAAGAAAAAAAGTGTACATTTCAAGGATTTCCCTTCTTCTGCTGTTCAAGAACCAGGCAAGCATATGAAAAGAGGTTAACAAGTTTTCTTATTTTATATTTCCATTGGATCCTTATTTTAAGGATCTTGGAAAAGGTCTTTTTTATATATTCAGAATTGTTATTATAGCTAATTCTTGATTTACCAGAGGATTATTGTTTATTTTGTGAAATAGACCACTATTGGGCCACTTTTACCTTCTTTTTCCTTTTTCTGTGTGCTTCTTTGGTTTCAAGACATTATACTCAAAATGAAAATATTTTCAGCTCTTCTCTGATCGGGGAATCCCTGAAGTGGGCCAATTTGGAGCCACCTCCAGGGGCTTGGGGTAATTCAGAATCAAACAAGGTCCTGCTTGGCATAAATGCCTGAGCCTACTCTAGAGAAGGGCTGAAGGACTGAACATGCCAGAGTGGTCCTACTGAGGATGCACCAGCATGAGCTCCGATAGGATCCAGGGTCCTCCCTGGGCTGGACTGAAATGAAGCTGCATCCCTTATTCTGCTCTAATGCAGCACTAAGGAGTCTAAGTTGCCTTGCTTTGACTTGGGATTCCATTGAAAGTTAATTATTACGTTTGTCTCAGTACCAAATGAACTAGACACTGACAGAACTACTGAATATTAAAAAGAGGGCTTCAAAGTGAAGACTCTCTAGAGATAAAGGCATTTTAAAACAAGATTTGAATGGTTTCAAATAATATATTATAAAGGACTGACTGCAAAGGTTCTGAGGAGTTGATTATTAAGCACGTTCTGGTATGGGTTTGGGTAATCATTTCCCTAGCCAGAAAGCATTAGCTTAGACTTTGAGCTAAGTAATTTTAAGCCAAGTAAACATATCTTACTTATTATTTATATGTTATACAAAACAGTCTTTTCTGGTTACTTTATATAATTCAGTTTCAGGTCATGTACCAACGTAAATTCCAGATGGATTCAGGTTTTACTCCAAAAATAGAAATCATAAAAATACTAGAAGAAACTGTAGATAACTTCTTAACCTAACTCTTTTTAGACTTGAAAGCAACGGGGAAAGGTATAATCAAACTTTAACCTAAAAATATACAATTTATTTTAAGGTTAGTTTTTTTTTAGCCAATGATAAATATCTTGTAAGATTTTTTATAATTTCTAATCTAATTGGTAATAGAATTCAATAAAAATGAGGCTTACAACAGACTCTGAGCTATAAGAAGAATGGTTTAGAATAATGCTGAGATTATCATCTCTCTTAATTCTAGACCACGTTTAGAAATGAAGGGCAGGACTGAGTGTACCTGGAGAACTGAGTGCACCTGCAGAAGCTTGCTCTACTATTTGTTTAGAATATTTCTGGCAGTACTGAATCAGTTGAGTACCTTTCTAATGCTAAAAACCCCCTGAAAAAAAATGAGCCAATGTATGTGATAAGTGATATATGTGAGCCAATGTATGTTCAAAGATGTCCAGGCCTTCCCAAGAAGAAGAAAATATTTTTGTCATATTATGTCATTCAGTTATTCATCATATATGATAACTTATTCATGTGTTAATGTATATATATGTCTGTAATAATACTATAAGCGAACTTACGAAATTTTTTCTTTTTTGATCAATTGTGGCTAGGTAAATACAATTTCATACGATTCAATCGAATATAATTGAGATTCCAACTTTCTAAACCCCTTGGAGCCTTCCTGAATGAAGATGACATAGAATAGGATCATCTCTCACAGAGCCAGCATACAGAATTGCCAGGAGGACTGGATCTGTGAAAAGTTGGCTCTTGAAACCTTAAACCACTTTAAGAAGCTAATGCTTAATGAGTCTTAAAGTCAATATGACTTTATATAGATATATTCAAGGGACTTTAAAAAAGGTACTTAGAAATAAAATAAAAATATTTAGAAATAAGATAAACCATTTTAGATATAAATAAGAATATTGTAAAAGAAACAAAACTACTTAACGTGATTTGTACCAATCTGAATTTTCCCACTATAGTGAAAGAAGGTACACGGATGCATTTACTTTCAAGAAATGCATTCAATAGAGCAATAACTCAGCCTCAGCTGTGCTTGTTTAGAGGTATTGTAATTGGTCATACAATGCACTACAGGTTGGGAACGATAGAGAAATATTAAATAATTATTTAAGAATACACCTTACCTATCTGATTTCTTCCTGAAGAGTAAAATGCATTGACTACAGCTGCTCCACTTATCCACCTGTAGAAAACATAAGAACTCTTTACAAATGATACTGCATTATCTGATTCAACCCACTCACACAATTAAAGCATTATTACCATTCCTAGATGAATCTTAACTTTCTGTTTGAAACATGATCAACAAATTAAAATTAGTTCACTAGGTGAGAGCTCATTTGAAAGCATTTCTATTTCTTGAAAAACATCAGCATATATTCAAGTCTGTAATCTTTTATTTTATTTGCATGGATTTTTATGGAGGCCTCTGATGTTGCAAAACCTATTAAAATGTATCACTTCAGAAATTGCAATGGGTTAAGATTGTATTGAAATTTATTTAGCTTTATGTTCCTGATACTAGGTAACTATGACAACGATTCTGGAGCAGTTGACAGAATACTGAAGTGTGGGTCATTAAAACTTCAGATCCAAGTATATTAAAAATAGTTAATTCCTGGTTTACAAAGAACCTTTTTGGGAACTAAGATATCTCAAGTAGTTGTCTTAGAGTAATATGTCTCTGATTATTGCCATTTAAAAGTGTTTTCAAAAAATACAACATTCCAGCTAATTGAGCAAAGATATATTTTTGTATGACTTTAAAATGAAACCCAGGTCATTCTTAAGTAGATTTGTCGGTCTGTCTGTCTGTCTATACCATGTCTAAGGCTCTGTATAGAACCCAGAGATTTTATAAAATACAGTTCCTGACTTCAGGAGACTCTAGTTTAGTTGAGGAGATGAGAAAAATGCATAAATAACTATAGGCTGAATGAAAAAATGGAAAAAAATGGCTCCCAGATGATAATTTGAGGGATGAGGATAGGAGCCAAAGTTCCCATGTCTCTCTGCTCAGATGTTATGAAGACTGCATATTAATAATCATGTGTTCAGAAATTTTGCGCAACAGGACTAAAGTTCTCATCTTAGTAGACTACTACATATATCGTTACTTGCTCATTGGAAAAATGGATACTGCTTGACTTCAGATAACCTCTTAAATGTCAGCATACATGCATACATTTAAGGTAGTCAGAGATCATCATCTAATGGCTTCACTGCAGTTGTTCTACTTTCATGGCAACTGTTAGTATGACAATTATCCTACTCACAGAAGGGGTGTACAGTAATTAGCACAATTAGGTTACATCAGAACTGTTTCTAGACCCTGCTCTGCCAGGTGAGCTGTACAAAGTAGGCTTTAGTTACAATGTTGCTTTAGTTACAATGTCAGTAACTATTTTGGGCTGTCAGAAGTGAATTTTATTTTGATCTCTTAAAAATAACTAGCACAGGGCAATATATAACAACTGACTGATAAATTCTAAGAATGGGTTTTGTCTACAACAACTTATCAAGACTTTTTATATAAAGGATTTGGGACTTAAAAAAATTTAGTTAACATTTCTGTTAATTTTTCTTTAGGAAGAAAAAAAGCTTGGAGATGGGGAAGAATGATTGATCAACATGTTTCTTCCTTAGTTTGTTACTGCTGTTGTTTTAAATCGAGAAAGCATTTTTAAACAGGATGGGGGGGGACTGATAATATCAGTCCTCCTTAATTTCATTACAGCCGAGTCATCAGTATTTTAGTATTTCTTGCAGGTTGATGATTACAACAATATAATTTTATTTATTTTAATTAAACTCTATTTGCTTCCCACATAATTTGTGTTGACTCACAAGAAAAACATGTATGTGTAAACCCAGGGATATTAGACTAAAATTGAGAGATCAGAAACGATGTAGAACAAATAGATTGCGTTGACGTGACTACGAAGTATTATAAAAGAAAATAAACAAAAATCATGATTAGGAAATATATTATGACTATGTTTATATATATTCAGACAGTTACTATAATTCAGGTTCAGATACGATTCCAAGCTGTCTGGCAAGAAAGTCAAAATGGAAAATGTGCTCTTACTACTCCTAGGGGGAAACATTGTTCCTTGCATGACTTCTGAAAGGTAATTCTGATGTGTCCTCGACATTTTCATAGCAAACGTGGCAGCAAATTTTTTAGGTAAACAGCTTATAGTTATTAAAGTTTTAACTGCTATAAAAGTTAATTTAACAGGTATCTAGGTCCCAGTGGTTTTAGGGTTCAGTTTCTCAATTGCGAACTTCTGGTTTAGTGACAGTGAATTCTACATGGGTTTTACAGGTAATTACAAATAACAGTTGCATATTTTTTGGCTCTGGACTAGTCAAAAATCCTAATATTGAAATAGAAAAGGTGCCAATCCAAGTTGTTTTTAAACTGTGATTACAGAGGAGAGGAACAGGATATATGAAATTAATGTTTCAGATAACAATAGATCACAAAAGTAGGACACGAATGAAGTTTATATATTATCCATCTTGTGTCTATTGCTTTTGTAAAAATAAATGTCATACCTTTTGTTTTAGTGCTTTTCTGCTCTTCTGTTACATTACATTGAGGGCTTTAAGACTGCATTTTGATTTATGTTTGCAAATTTCCAGCAGGGAGAGTTTTGCATATTAAAATGTCCACTGTGAATTATACCTTAAAGAAAATAGGTAGCTATTTATGACCACCAAACATTCAAATAAAATTAGAATTATGGTGGTTGGGTTTACACAGCACTAGTGTGTAGTATTTGCCTTTTCTTCTTTGAGATCTTTCTTGATGTGCCCTCAAACCAGTCTGGGAATTACCAAAAGCACAGGACATTTTGTCCCTGGTAATAATCAGAACCTCTGGAAGTACTGTGATTAGATCATTACATCTTAAATAAGGTGATGATAACAACTATAGACTGAATGTCTAATATTTGTGATCAATCACAAAATATCTCAATGTTAATATAAAAACTAAATTAACAGGGCCAACTAAACAGTGATGTAACAAAAACTGTAAGTTCTTTTGGTTGGAATGCAGTCCAAATTTGATGCTGACTGGCAGCACAGAGAAGAGAAAATTCACAAAGAGAAAGTGAAATGGTGGTGATTCTTGCCCCTAAAATAATAGATAGTGTAGGTTACCTGAAGATACCTTTAAAGTGTGGAGGCCAAACACTAACAGCCTCCACAGAGCAGTATCAGACTTTAGAGATGAACCACTGTTCTTCCATTTCTCATCCTTCCTCTGGTGGTCTGTATGCATACAAATGTGGGCATGTATGTGGTATAAAGTGAAGAGTGGGGAAGCAGGAAGGAAGAAACCTTATTTTTAATTTATGAGATGTAATTTTGTCAGGTAAGCTTATTCTCGTTTGGGGGCATTTGGCAGTAAAACAAAGAGGGGCCACTAGAAGCAGTATGGCCCTCAAAGCTGAGCTAACAATGTGGGTGGGGAATAGAACTGAAATATACCTGACAGAGGAACCAGGTGTTTCTCTTCTATCTCTTATTGCCCTGAAGAAGCTTAGTGCTGATGAAAGTGTGCAGAAATAATTTTTATAGCTGGGAAGAAAAGCAGAAGACAACAGACTGATCCTATAGCCTTTTGGGTATTATAAGCCCACTAGATTGCAAAAGCACCTAGAATAAATTTTTTTCACCCACTCTTGTGTAACTTAAAAACTGAAAACAACAAAATTGTTAGTGAGCCGGTACTGCCAGTGTTCAATTTCTCAGCATTTAGTAGTCTCAAAGCAACTCCTTTGAAATCAGCAGTGCAATACGATAGATTTTCTGTGTCTTCCTCCAGTCGCCTGGGTGGAAAGAATTCTTACCTTGTAATCACAATAATCACTCTAATCCTTTACAATTATCAATATTCTCTCATCAAGACTTCGAAGTTTTCTGTATACTTTTATTCATCTTTCAAACCATCCATATATTTGCAGGTATAGAAACTGAGGCACAATATGGTTATTAATCTCTTTCCTAATACACCTACAAACTACGTTATATAACTGGGAAAATTATATTTAAACTAAGAAGAATAGGAACCTGCTCACCTTCCAATCAAATCTCCTACTCCTAAGCTGTTGATCTGCACCATACACAAAATTTCATTACAGGGATTAATGCCATTTTCTTGCCATCCTCTTTAAAAATGAAGATGACCATTTCTTACTACTGTGTCACACTGGTTACTATTTAATGAGCACCTAAGTTATGTTCTAGGTGCATTATACAACGTAGAACACAACCATGCAGGACAAAAGTGAAGTCATTATCACCAGATTATAAAGGAAAAATTCTAGGTTCAGAGGTTAGGAGGCAAAGCAGGAATTCTGACTCAGGTCTACTCCCCTCACCCCCTGACTCCACAGCACAGGCTCTTCCCAATGATCCATAAGTGTAACTTTTTACCCAAAGGCAAAAGCACAGTAGGACCAAAGAACTTCTATTGTTGCATATGGTTGTTAACATAACTGAAGTACTCTGGGTGACTTACCTGAATCTGTCTGAGGCTAGGACTCTGATTTTGACACTAAACTGGGAGAAGCCACTTCTCTTTCAACAAAAGGTAATGGAAAATTACTACTGTTTTCCTAGATGTTACCAGTTGTTTGTGTGTAGTTCTGTTTGGCAACAAGGCACAATCTTTTTAGTCTTTGCTAACCTTATATATGTGTACATGCACATATATGTGCATACACACTTGGTATGCTTTATTTCGGAGAGATTCCTAATTTTGGAGACACTTGGGTGGGTGGATCATTTCTGTCAGAATTTTCTTTGGTGACTTTTCTCCTGATTTAAAGTAATTCTGAGAACTTCCAGGAAAGAACTGAAACCTGTTCCATACTGTATAACCCTCAGTACTTACATAACTTGACATAAGACTATTGTCTACCTAGCTCATTAGAAGGTAATTCCATGAAGGCAAGAATATTCCATGTTTTGTTCTTAATTGAATCCTAAGGCTAAGACCAGTGGTGGGAGCATAGTAGGCACTTGGCTATTTGGGCCTTGGTATAGCATTGGGTCCTCCAAGCTCCCAGAGTGCTGACCCATTTCATCCTGTGACTCTAGGAGGGCAGAGGGCACCATTGCTATGCACGTCATAGAGAGTGGTGGCTGTCAGAAACTGTGCACCGTTGAATGTTGTCCTTTCAAGAGATGACACTGAAATAAATGTATCAGAATTCTTTTGCAAAGTTCTTTCAGTTTAAATGGAAGTTTAGGACCTTTTAATTGTGTTGTTTGAAGATGATATTTTTGTTTCGTTTTGTTTTTAAAAAAGAACTACCTAAAATTTCAGCCTTTAAATTATTCGGCTTCCTTTTCTAATTCCCCTTCCCCCTCTGGAAAACAAAACAAAACGAAACAAAACAGAATCCCTCATCAAATGCTGACTAAAAAGCAGAAATCTTTTTGCCAATAGAACACATTTTGCTAACAACCCCAAAACACAATGAAAATCTGCAAAGACTCTGTTGGCTTAATGGAAGCATAAAACGTAAAAATCTAAAATTTTCATCTGTTACAACATGTGCAAAACATGAGGATGCCATGGCAGATACTGCCTTGGGAAATTAAACTGATTTGTTCAAGTTTAGTGTATCTCTTCTTTCTGGCTAATACTTGCTGAGTCAAATAGTCCTTTTTACAAATCATCTCCGTCTACATTTATGGAGAGTCATTTGTCTCAAGTGTCCGGTGCTCCGCCTGCCCACCCTCGAGAGACTATCAACTTTCCACTGCTGGGCCATCATATTTACCCATATAATTTCTGCATAATTATTTTTCCTTTGATACTCAAGTTGAACTATACAGAACTTAGTTAGAAAGAAGGTTGGTTCTAGAAACATTAGTGAAGTGGAAAAATCAGAAGGGATATTTTAGAAAGAAGCGAGGTACTTCTCTGCCACTCAAGAATGTGTTTTTTTCTCTTGGGTCATTTGATGCGGAGAAGCCAAGGAGGAAAACTTCCTGGCTCTTATGAAAACTTCACAGTAAGGTCCACAGAATTTTAGTGCCAGAAAGAACCTCAGACACATTCTACAGTCTAGCACAGCCTACTCATTTTATAAATAAGGAAACCACAGGGCTTTTAAAAGGCCACAGGTTGTGAATGGCAGAACTGGAACACTAAAAGAGTATTAGGCACTCATTGCAGTGGCAAAACTACAGTGTCACTTCCCAGGGTGCCAACTGCTCTGCCATTTTTGGTGGTGCTGGCCTTTCAGGAACTTTCTATATGCACCACGGAGTCACAGATGTTGAGCTGCCAGCTTTAGGGGTTCCACTTATTTCAGAGGTGTGCCACCATCCAATTGCACCAGATTAGAAAAAAAACACCATGCTTGAAGCAACCAAGGGGCAGACAGAAATGAGCCAATCATTTTTGTTTTGTTTTTTGTGAATCCTCTGCTCACCTCAATATTAATTTAAATGCTGACATATTGATTCCAGAGAATGTTTTACTAATAAGTAAAGGTTTAATTGTGGTTTGAAAAATTGTGTTTTACTAATAAGTAAAGCTTTGTGGTTTGAAAAAAGTGCTGTTCTAGCACTTTGTTTCCTGGTAATAGCAGCAACCAAACCCCGCCTTTCATCAGATTTAATTTTTAATCATCTGCCCCTTAAGATCATAGACTCCCGAGTAAAGGGCAACATCTTGTTCTCCTCTTTGTCATCTATTTTGTTTAGCACAGTGCTCTGCACAAGCTAGCTGCTCAATAAATGTTTATTGACTTGGCTCCTGTCAATGTCAGTATGCTTTCATTTTGATGCAGAACAGCAAGAGAGATGCACCAATGAGATTCCTCTTTGTACTTTATAAAAAGTTAACTCCAGGGCTCAACAGTTATGATTCACAAACACTAGCAACACCCATCACAATTATATCACAGGAAGTTCTGTCCTGAGAAACTAACAAAATAACATCAAGTCTAAAAACAAGAGACTCATTTTGTTTTGTTCTTGTACATCTTTTTCTTTAGAGATTCATGTTTGCTCTATGAACTCTAAATGAAAATTCATGTTACTAGAAGTAAATATTTTAGAAATATTGTTAAGTAACCAAAGGGTATTATATTCCCGATTCAGCACTATTTCTATGTTATAATGACATGTTTAAAATTCTTTACAAACTGGCGCAAAATCCTTAAAAGACATAATGTTTGAGATGATTTTGGAAACACATACTAGGCATCAGAAACCACATGAATCAAGAGCTTTTAAAATTTAAATCGCTTTAGAAGGCCAAGGTGGGTGGATCACCTGAGGTCAGGAGTTCGAGACCAGCCTGGCCAACATGGTGAAGCCCCGTCTCTACTAAAACTACAAAAATTAGCTGGGCATGGTGGTGCACACCTGTAATTCCAGCTACTCGGGAGGCTGGGGCAGGAGAATCGCTTGAACCTGGGAGGTGGGAGCCGAGATGGTGTCACTGCACTCCAACCTGGGTGACAGAGTGAGACTCCGTCTTAAAAAAAAAAAAAAAAGTAAATCCCTGTCCTTTGCAGGTGCCAGCCACTCATAAGAGCAGAGGGAGGCCCTTTTAGCTAAATTATTAACTTGGGTGTCTCACATGCAGACTTCCTGACTTCCTCAATTTCTTGAATTTGTTAAAGATGATGTTGTGTATCTTCCCCAGCCATGATAGTGAAATGTTTGGATGTGACCATTTTTTTTTTTTCTTTGAGACGGAGTGTCTCTCTGTCGCTCAGGCTAGAGTGCAGTGGTAAAATATTGGCTCACTGCAACCTCCACCTCCTGGGTTCAAGTGATTTTCTTGCCTCAGCCTCCTGAGTAGCTGGCATTACAGCTGCATGGCACCATGCCTGGCTAATTTTTGTATTTTCAGTAGAGACGAGGTTTCACCATGTTGCCCAGGCTGGTCTCAAACTCCTGACCTCAAGTGATCCGCCCACCTTGACCTCCCAAAGTGCTAGGATTATAGGCGTGAGCCACTGGGCCCAGCCAGATGTGACCATTTTTATTTTAGCAGCTGAGTTAGTTTTATTATCATTATTACAAATTGGCAATTTTATCATTTATTCTTCCCATAAACATTCATAAAGAGCTACATTCTGTTCATTAGTGTTTAAGCTCTGGTGACACAAATATCTGGTTTTTGCTTTCAATAGGGGCTAGTCCAACTAAACGTAGTAAAATGTACTGGTACTTTGACCAAAATGTGCAAAGTGTAGAACAGCCCAAGGTGAAGAGAAATATGCAATGGGGTGCTGTGAGGAAGGAGGTGACACTTAAAGTTTAATCAAATCATGTGTAGGTTTCTGTTAGATGAACCAGGGCATAAAGGGTGGTCCAGGGTAAGAGACAAGGATGTAAGAAAGACAGAGAAAGGATTTGGAAGTAATTCATATGGTTGGAGCTTTGGACAATGGTGAGGTGTAGGGTGAATGTGAAGGAACTCTGGAGTGCTAGTGTGGGGTATGAAGAGCCTTGGTTCTCTTCAAAACAGTCACACATCATGAGACAGGCAACAGGGATACACTGAAGTGTTTTCATCAGGAAATAAAATGCCAATTTGTGTCTTCAAAAAAATCTCTAAGGTAGTAGTGTGGAGGATAAACTGAAGATATAGAAGGTGGTTGGTAAAAAAAGTAGGATAATAATTGAGATGAGTCAATGAACAGTGAGAAATGTCTGAATTACAGAAGTGACCATGGGAATGGTGAGCTAGAGATCCCCTCTTCCCATTCCTACGTAATATTTAAATAGCAGCTGGTGGATGCAGACTTTTTTTTTAAAATGGAGATTTGAATTAACTATCACTGTAGATGTCAGGAATAACAGAAAGGGATAAGTCTAGGATGATTAAAATGAGTCCTTGGTTTCTGTCTTGGTAGCAGTAAAATGGAGGTTTTTAGAAAATGGGCAGATATTATTTTTTGCCTAAATGACAAATGCTGTGTTTTTAGGGTCAATAAGACATCTACATGGAGATGTTTCATAAGCATGTAGACATTTGGATTTGAATCTTAGTAAATGGATCTGAGTCAAATACAAATATTCAGCTGACATGATGATGATAGAAGATGTCGAGAAGTAAAATGAGTTTGCCCAGTGAGAGCATGTGAATTGGGGGAAAAAAGTGTCTAGAAGTTTACTATTTGGCTAATTGAATTCATTTACATTAGTTGCTGTCTTGAAAATTTAATGCATCATCATTTCTCTGAAGTGCCCTACAATACAACCCTACAAAAGTCTCAACTCTGTCCCTTCAGTTTTGGGTATGCACACATATTTCTCTTTCAAGACTTTGGGAGTGAGGATCTTGAGCATCTGAAAATGTAATTCTCTAAGATGTAACTACGGGCTATGTGGACAAGTAGAAGCAACAGAAATTATCTGTCTAAACATACACAGCAAGGACTTGAACTTGGTGCTCCACAAAAAGAGAAAAGAAAAAAGAGTAATGACTTTATTACATTTTTTTTTTTAGACGGATTCTTGCTCTGTCGCCCAGGCTGGACTGCAGTGGCGCGATTACAGGCCTGAGCCACCATGTCCAGCCAACTTTATTACTATTAAGCAGGTTCAAAATAAGTCAGTAACTTTCCCTGCAAGAAACCTTAATAAAATGAGAGGAGCTTCGATCATGTTGTATCCTATAGGGCTCAGTCTTAATGATTTGATGCAATTACTGTCAGAGGGTTTCTGATTATTTTGGAAGATAAAAATAAATTTTAAACCTAAATTGCCAAATTAAAGGCATCATCTTGTGAAAAATTCCATAAAATTGAATATGAACAGGAATGATATCACACAAAAGGGAAATAACACTAACTCAGGGGTTCTCACTTGGTGGGTGGTACTTAAAAAGAATACCAGTATCTGGGTTCCAGCTACAGAACAATTACATCACATTCTAGGGTGCTTGAGCTGGGGAATCAGTGTTTTTTAAAATGTTCCCCAGGTGATTATCATGTGCAGCTAGAGTTTTGAACCTTTGTATCTGGTATACAGGCAGACTATAGGAAAGAAAGGAAAGCTGGCTCCATATAGCAGAGAAGACCTTAGAATTCATATTGCATTTGTGATCATCAGAAGCTCATGGGGAGGACCAAAAAGTACTACTGAAGCATGTGTGCTATTGACCATTCATTCATTAAAATATTGTATACACTTTTGGCTTTTGATTATCTATCTTAAAAAGAGAAGAATGCAGAGAAAATCAGCCCATATGATGAAAGGGAATGAACAGTGTAAATTATATGACAAAATGATTATGAAACTGGCACTACGTTAACCTCAAAAGAAAACATCAAGCAATAATTCAACAACTATTTCTAGAATTATGAAGAAATTTCCTGATGTCCTATGGGTACTGGTTAATTTGGCCATTTCAGAAATAATATTTGACAGTATTTGTCTATAGATATTTTATAGTGCTAACAATTATTAAATCTTAGTATGTCTATTTTTAAAGAAATACAAATATACAGACTTATAAGAAATTTCTCAGATCATAAATTCACCCAGATAATTATTTTGCATAACTTTTTGTGTGTTTCAAGAGACAGGATATGGTAACTTGATTATAATGCCAAGCATGTGTATTCACTCTCTTTCTTTCCCAGATGGGACACTAAACATTCTATAATATTTGCAATCCCATTTTTAGCATCAGATAACACAATATTTGTTCCAATATGAACTTAGAAGTCAGCAAAAGAGTTGCTCTCTCTTTCAGGACACGTCAGTGTTGCAAGAGTTCAACATGTTGAGTAAGGATTAAAATGCACTGGCATTTCCATTAGCAGTTTTGTCCAACCTGTACTTGGTTTACTGAGAACAGAACAGTCTTATCATCAAATAAGCCCACAGCACTTTGTACTTTGCTTGGCACGACATTTCCCTCTTGGTGGTGCAGTTTATTACACCATGTCTTGTCTACCTTCTGCTCTTGTAATGTAATCAAAGTTCACCTTTGATTCTCCCAGTACCCAATGACACCTGGACTTCGTGTTCCAAAATGTTAATAAATGCATGAAAGGATAAATGAATGCATGAATGAAACAAGCACCTCTTTGGCATGTTACTGTGTTAGTTACCACACAAATCAAGTTAGTATATTTATTTTTCACTTGCTCACTCACTCATTAATTTTGTTTTAACTGAGATTCTTCAGTATGCTAGATGCTGAGACTTTATGGTCAAAAGGAATAGCCCCTGTTGTCTAGGGGCTAAGAGCCTAGGGAGAAAAAGTCAACATAAGTGGTTCTAGGAATTTCGGTGCATAAACACATATGCTGATAAATATGTTAGTTATATCTATTTAATAGAAAAAATAAAATCTAAACTAATAGTTATTAGGAAATACTAATGTCACTAATAAGCAGAGATTAAGAGCATAAGAAGACTGTGAATAAGAATGGTTCCTAGTATCTCCTATTTGACTACCACAGGGTTAGAAAAGTCTTACATTAACTATCTATGAAGGGGATGGAGTTGTGGGATTGACTGATAGAAAAAAGGTGGGGCTGTCAGCAGAAGAAAATTCTGGACACAGAGTAAGGCCTAAGAGAAGGCTTAAAGGAGCTATGAATTGGCTTACTTAAGCTAAGGTTTTTGAGAATCTTGTTCACAAATAAATTGAGCTGATAGGCAATGACATAAGACGAAACTAAAGACATGTAAATTTGAGGATACCTTAATGAGAAAGGTATTTTAATCTGGTTAAAGTCTTGATCCATATCTTTAGTATACCATAATTAGATGCTTTTAGAAGTTCTCAATAAAAAGAGGACTTTGTACTTTTTAATATTTTTCTAACTGAGGCTCTTTCACTTAATCCAACAAAGAAAGGAGGGAAAGACCTGCTTCTAGATGATCACATTAGAAATGAGAATATACGCACTCATCTTTGTCCACCTTTTCTCGGAGCTTCTTCAGTTGTTTACTTTGGCTGAATTTCAAATTTTGAATTATGTTCTCGAAGTATTCATCTTCTTTGTAGTTCAACTGTATTATAAAGAAGATTTGGGAAGAAATATTAAAACCGGTATCTTCTAAATTTTTGCTAAAAACATAGGGATTTTCTTAAATTATATCAGTCAATAAAGTTAAAAGAGAGCATTAAAAAACTTACCAAAAAAGGATGTAGTTCCAGTTAACCTAATTCTATTAGTATATCACAGGTCAGTATTCCAGCCAAATCACAAATTCAGTGTATTATTTTATAATAATCAAATGAAACCAAGTGTCAAACAAACCTCACATTAATGACATTAATCTTCACATAACACATGTGGATAATAGCACATTCTTCTTTAGTACTTACCATGTGCCAAGTACTATTCTAAGTACTTTAAATTTTACATTATACTCATTTAATTCTATTATACTAATAGAATCTAATATTATGTTCATTTAATACCGATGAACTAAGGGCTCCTATCCCCATTTTAAAGTCAAGGAAACTGAGATATAGTTTAGTCACTCGACCAAGTTTAAATGAGTGGTGGAACTGGGATCTGGAATCAAGGAACTTGGTTTTGAGTCTGTGTTCGTAGCCACTATGCTCCTGCTATAAGGACCCCTGGGTCTTGCAAGCTATAACCAGCTCATTTAAAAGAAAAAGTCAAGTTTCTTCTGCAAATGGAAAGAGAGAAGAAGGCAGTATGGTTTGCAAATCCCCATGCTAGACTAGTAATCAATGAATGAGGAATCACTGTCATCCCAGGACCTGGGCAAGGATCACCTCGCTGTCATCAGGGTATCATGTAGTTGTGGTGACTGCAGAGTTAGCAGCAAGACTTTCAGTTGAGTCTGAAATCAGCACTGCAGTGACTTTAAGCAACTCTCTGCTCTTTTAACTGTTACATTACCAGGGCAGAACAAAATAGTTTTCAGTTCTCAAATATCAGGGTTTGTTTTGTTTTGTTTTTAAAATACAGTAGGCATGAATTGGTTTTTCCAGTAGAGGAAAACTTAGAAGGTGGAGGGAAACTCGAAGCCTGTGTAAAATGTGATAAGAAGCCTGCCTGTTGTTCACCACCTTGATGTCTATCCCTTCCTTGATACTCTTTAAAGGACACCAGATTTTACTTACGGTTCTTAAAATGGAATATATGGAAACCAAATGAACAATAACCAAATATAGTCCTGGCTAATGAAAACAAAAAGGCTAAAACAAATATCATTCTGGCACCAGCGTTGAAGGCTTTATATAATACAACCTGTGGTTTCAGGCTACTTCATATAATTTCAGGCACCCCATAGCTAAAAATGACACTACTACCAGCCCTAAGTATCAGTAGTCCAGAGTCTATTTTATAGAGACTTACCTCGAGGTACTCATTATTCAGTTTGTTATCATTTGAAACAATGTCATCAGGATAGCCGATCCTTTCTTTAATTGCTAAGGCCTATGAAAATTATAATATTGAATGTGAAGATGATTATATAACTTTCAGATACAAATTTATAATCTGCCCATGACTAGCAATTGAATAACTTGATCCATACTGTTCATAAAATGAGTGTCTGACATACTTAAACAGAGATCTTTGCAATGGCTCTTTCCTGGGAGGTTCAAGAATAAATGAAAATCAGGTCTGAAATTGAGTTTCTAATGCCTTATCCTTATAGGCTGCAGCTTTCTCAAGAAAACCAACATAAAAACTGACAAAACTCATTGTTCCACATATTTTGTACTTTTATGAACTTTTTCTCTCAAAGCTTTTTTTTTCAATTTTTTAGAAGAAGTAATATTTACAGCTTCCATTCCAGCAGGTTATAATTACCTTTCTGCCTCATTGATTTGACTGAGAAAACAGATATGGGCTTATAGGTTTACTGCTAATACTAGTCCTAAATATTGGTTCCTGGAGTTTTTATGTTCTCCTTTATTCTCCAAAGTCAGTGTACCTATCTTCTCAAGTTCAATAAATGACATTAATTAGTTAAGTGGAAAACGAGGTTTTCCTTGTTATTCCAGCTCATATTTATTATGTATTTACTACTATCTTTTTTTTTTTTCTTTTGAGACAAGGTCTTGCTCTGTTGCCCAGGCTGAAGTGCAGTGGCACAATCAGGGCTCACTGCAATCTCCACCTCCTGGGCTCAAGTGATCTTCCCATTTCAGCCTCCCAAATAGCTGGGACTACAGGCATGCACCACCATGCCCAGATAATTTTTGTATTTTTTGTAGAGACAGCATTTCACCACGTTGCCCAGGCTAGTCTCAAACTCCTGGGCTCAAGCAATCTGCCTGCCTCGGCCTCCCAAAGTGCTGGGATTACACCAGGGAGCCACTGCACCTGGCCTATTTATCACTACTTCTAAAGTTCATTTTTAATTATTTTAAAATGGTTTATTTTACTTATTTTATTATTTCATTATCACTTGTTTACTACTTGTTATTTCTATTTTTATTTTATTTCTCTCTTGATTTTCTCAATGATACTTGACTTTTGATTTTACCACTTCGTATCACTCTTAAATAATTTAATTAATTTAAATTTTTCATGGGGGGTTTAGCCTGTATCTCTGAGTTACATGGTTTCCCATCAAATGGATGCAGTTTTATTACAAATCTGTCACATGAGCCCAGGATTTCCCCAGTCAGTGGATCAGGCCTCATATGTATCACTGAAGTCACTGAGGCCAAACCCATTTTCTTGTAGGTTTGCCATCAGTCATGACAATCCAGCCCCCACTTAATGATACTTTATTTACTGTAAGACATTTCCTTAAAGAGTGTTCTAAAGGATACAAATTCTACAGAAAGTATAAGGTAGTAAACACACAAAAAAATTATTGTGAATTACTTCGGGTAAATGCTGTCGCAAAAACATTAAGCAAGTTTCTTTATTGCAGGACTTCTTACAATTAAAAATGGGTTAGATTATAAGGTTAGAATCATAAGTTATTATAAATATCCAGGATGGGAAATTAATTTATCAATTTACTCACTCAATATATTTCAAGGGTCTACCAAGGGCCAGGTATGTTATAAAGGGCTGAGGATATAATGCTAGGCAGTATTTTCTGCCCCCCTGCCCCCAACCATAAAGAGCTTATTGTAAACAGCAATGATAAGCAGTGAAATAAATATTAACTCCCACGTATGATAATAAAATCACACCCTAGGAGCATGTAACCCAGCCTAGGGTGAGATGAGGGAAGCCTTCCTACAAGAAGTGTTCACCAAACTCTTTTGACCATGAGCCTCTTGTGGAATAACTTGCATGTCCAGTATTTTGTGACACCACTTTGGAAATGCCGATCCAGAACAATCCAACTGGCTTTACCAAGCAGAGCCATGTCATGCACAGCTGTGACATGAAAGGAGCAAATCCAACCTGAATGTCTGAAGAGCTGGCCAGAGTGATGGAAAGATAGCAATACTGGGGGCAGAGGTTCTAGGCCTAACCCACTCAGGGCTCTTTGAGAGCTGAAAAAAGATAGTCCTTCCATGTGATTTAATTCTAAAAGAAAACTAGACCAAGGTTGATTATCTTATTAAAATACATTTATTATTGTCTCCTCTATCAATCCAAATCGTCTGCTTTTTCTGCCAACCTAACTACAGAGATTAGTCAGGATGCATGTGAATGTTGCTCATAAAGCATGTTAACAGTTTTCACAGGACATGTTCCCCCTAGTTATTATATAATTATAAAGACAAATGATCACAGTAAATTTAAACCTAAGATTTCCTGAGAAATCTTAGACCTATTCTTATGAAACTCAGTAAAAGTCTCAATAAAAGCTGCACATTATGGGTGGGCATGAATAGTTATAAAAAAGCTTCTTCAACATCTCTTTAATTATAGATCTTATAATGCACCAATAGTGCACCACCTTACATTTGCTTGAACAGAAACTTAATATTTTCACCTTGCTAGAGTATTGGTTGCAGAGATAAAAGATTAAAATTGTAGAAATATATCTTTATCCACAAAAACTCTTTCTGGAAACACTACATATTGAAGGAGCTTACAAGTTTTTATGCAATCTTTGATTATATTTTTTTCTAAATGTTTTTAAAGTTAATTTTTCCTATACTAGCAAAGATTTTTCTTTGCTAGTTAGCTGTCTGCTCTTTACCTTTTCTTCAGCTCTCTTTTTTGTCTCGGCATCCATCCAAGTGAGGTCATCTAAAGTCTGAATAAAAACTTCTCGGATCTGTGCAATCAAATCCTCGACCTCAAATCAGAACAGAAGACAAATATAGGTCATTAATTCATTCTTTGTAACACAGATTTTTAAAAATAGAGCTACATGCTATCTTTGTATGACTTAATATGTTAATAAACGTAAATTTATAGACAAACTGTGACCTAAGCTAACAGATATATGGGACCATTATATTTTAAAAGCAATATTGCTATTATCGACACTCTTGATTAAATAGGTCTTAATATATGCATTAAGGTAAAAATCATTTTCAGAATATAATGGTTTCACTATCATACTGGAAGAACTAATGTAAAATATTAGGGCTGTCATTACCATTAGTGGTTTAGCTAAGCATAAAGTAGCATTTCAATAAATTCTTTCACCATACCATTAAGTTCCACTGTCTTCATTTTCCTAACAATGAAAAATAAAGCACATTTCTTATACTCCAAATAAATCCTGTTTTACTTTCTATGTTTTTAAGAAAATACTAATTTGGGGGCAATTTTGATAATAGAAGAGTTTATAAATGACTATATCAATAGAACATGTTACTGGGTACTCCAAATACACTGCTTCTGGAAAATGGTGAGTTGGTTTCAGACTAGACAGTATTAGGAGCAGAAACATAACTAGACTCTTGGGGAAGGCAAGGGAAGATTTATTGGGAAACAATGGCATATTATGATTCAGAGGTTCTCTGCCTAAATTAATAAAATTTTAGCCAAATGATGGAGAACTGTAATTGCTCATCAGTGTGAACAAACTGATAGTGTCCTGTATAACTGACAGTGTATTATTCTGAAAACATTACCACATGTTTACTCTCTCCAGCAAATGCTGCTTCCACATAAAGCCTCCCCACAGCATTTTCCATATTCCCATTGACATAGTTTGCACAACGTCTCCAAGTTGCTGTTTCTGAGGTTGTACCATAAAGGGCCTACGGAAAAGAAAAAGGAAATGGCATTTGACCAGAAGGAAAGGTCTGGAGCATGTTAAGAGCACACATTTCACAAATGTCTCATCTAAGTTCTTGAAATATTCATCACTTCTCCTCACAAGGCCCATGTTCCTAGCCTATGATGAAATGTAATCCAAATGGATTGTTTACTTATATATGATCTGAAAACTAGGCATATTTTCAGTAGATGCCCCAGTAGAACTTTTTGCTATTACAACTTAATATCATTGTAGAAAGCGTTAGAAAAACATACAACACTGTAACCACTGCACAAACATAAATGTGAAGTCATATTCAATAAATGTAATGGGGGAAATATGGTATATGAGAAAACACATTACTGCTTTTCAAGGTTTTAGCTGAACTCTGAGTACTTACAGAACCTGTATGTGTATAAATTTAAGAATAACAGGATAACCTAAGTAAGGGAGATTTAGCACAATACATTTTTGCATTCTTTAATTTTAAAAAGATGTCTACATTTTCTTTTTAAGGATAAAAACTAGAAATTTTAATCAGTCCACGTTATTTTCTTTCCAAGACTCCAACTAACATGTTTGCTGGAGTCTCTCCTTCCTCAATCCCTACTGCCTACTCCCCTCACCATAGTACCAAAACAGTGATTGTTTAAATAATATAGGTATAGGCTAAGAAAAGGTCTTATTTAACTCCAGGTAGGGGTACTTTCAATAGACTGCCCACATCAATATTGTCCATCTGTGTATATGTCCAGTGTGCAATGAGCACCTGAAAATCAAATTAATTAAAATAGATAACCCCGAAATTACTTTTAACACAGTAACAACAACAAAAAATCCAGACAGTATTCTTTCATGAACTGGTTAAATAACCAAATGTAACTCCTTACAGGACAATGCAATCATCGTGCCACATAGACCATCATAAGATGGTAAAGCCCATGAAGATTTATCTTCCTCAGCAACATGTCCTAAATATGTGCAAGATAACGAACTTTGGCATTTTGTCCCTTTGCAAAGTTCACCATGTCCTAGCAGTGTACATGGTAAGCCTTCATAACCATGTATCACTTTATGCTTTAAGTCTTAAGAAAAGAGAGATTTTTTCTTCACCTTGCGGAAAGCATTTCTGGACTCCTTGTAGGTTCGGCTGAGGCTGCTTACAAGATCCATTATGAATCTCCAGGACATTAAATTTTGAAGATCTCTGTATAAAAAAAACCACCGCCCAGCAACAGAAAAGATGAGGCTGCAAAGCTTCTGAAGAGTGATATGAAATGCAAACTTTGAGGACATGGGGACTGTGACATACCTACCTGGCAGAATATTTGGTAAGAATGGGCTTAAGTTTGGTTAAATATTCTGGAGCATAAACAACCACATCTTCCTCATTTGTAATACTAATATTCACAGTTGACATGATTTCATTTGTGAAATTCAACCAGCTGAATGGCTGGAAAAAAGCAGGCATGAAACATTCAGAAATTGTGGATTTCTCTTCTTGGGTCCAAGATTCAGTTATAGTTAGAGGGTTGGATCAGTTTGATATTCACTTGGGATTCTTCCTCAATTGTTTCAATCAGTTTTTAAATAAAAACTAGTTCTGCAACATGATTATTTACCTAGCATAATTAAGCCAACCATTTAAGAGCGAAAACAAAGCCTTTAAGCTTAAGGAACATATACCTAGAAATTAGGCTTAATGTCATCTTCTTTGTCTAACCAATACAGAAAATAAAAATATAATTTAAATTTAAATTTAAAAATAAAGCTTTTTTGGTTTATGCAAAAATGGAAATGTGTGTAAAGTGTTTAGCTTTTAAAAGTGGGTATTAATAAACAATTCATTCAAACACAGTAACACATCTCAGTGGAAATCCTATTATAGATGAAAATATACTGTTATAGCAGTGGTACAGTGATGTTATGAAGTCAAAGAAAACAGCATCTTTTCAATTATCGATATTGGGTCTACAGGCATGCCATGTTTATACTTCAGAAGCTAAGTACGGAGTTGCCAAAAGATGAAATCTTGTCTTTCTAAATGGGAATTGATAATGTTTAAGACTATCAATATCTTAGGTTGTATTTTACACACACAGACACAAGCACACATCACTTACTGAGTATAGGGTGCTATGCTATACAATTTTCTTCATTTCCTTTGGTGGTTTAGGTCATTCTTTCAAAACGTATTTATTAAACACTTATTATATTAAAAAATTCTATGTAAGATGTCTAACTCAATAGTTTATGCCTTTGGAAAAGTCCTTGTTAACTAGAATTAGTGCCAAAGAGAATGTCATCGCTGAATGTGGTAGTTTGTAGGTTTTCCCATGGATATTGCTTCATCTCTTGGCTGTGTGCATCAACTAATACACGAGAATAAATGCATAGCCACAAAAAGAGATTATTGGATACTAGGTAAGGAAAAAGAAGTCAACTGCTGTTTATAAATGGAATCTATGAGAGAGCTTTTCTTTTTATTTGTGTCCTATTTCTGAATTATTGTTCTGAACACCTCTGTAGATGGCCTTGATGAGAACACGGGAAGTTCTATGAATAAATTATCCTTTTTTGGAGTTAAAAGGAAATCTAGTGCTTTTATTGTGTGACTGTCCAAGTCTGATGACTACATAATGGCCTCTCAGAAAGATTTTCAGTTTTAGTATTTTTCAAACCCCTTCCTATGGGAGTTTCTAGTATTATTGTATAGCTGCCTTAAAAGGAATTTTACCAGCTAAGAGTGGTGGCTCACACCTGTGGCTAACACTTTGGGAGGCTGTGGCCGGCAGATCACTCGAGCTCAGGGGTTCGAGACCAGATTGGCCAAACCTCATCTCTACTAAAAATACAAGAATTAGCCAGGTGTGGTGGTGCATGCCTGTAGTCCCAGCTACTTGGGAGGCTGAGGCAGGAGAATCGCTTGAGCCTGGGAGGTGGACGTTACAGTGAGCCAAGATTGTGTCACTGTACTCCAGCCTGGGCAACAGAGTGAGACCCTGTCTCAAAAAAAAAAAAAAAAAAAAAAAAGGAATTGAAGTCCCATTTACTTCAATAAATAAAAACTTGACGAATTTTAGAAAGAGTATTTCAATGTTATAATTTAGAAAACGGCACAATAAGAGAGCACAAAAAACTTACCACTTACCTTCCCATTGATCTCTAGTGAAAAGTTATTTTGGATCTGGGCCAATGTCATCTTGTTATACAGAAGCATTGGATCATTTCGATCTTCAGGTTTAGCCGTAGCCTATGGATTTAATTTTTAATCATTATTTTAGAATTAAGAATTCTTTAGAAAAATATAACTACATATGAGGGTAAAAATATAGGATAGGTACAACATAATTTAAGTCCTATTCTGTACTTGTTTTTGTAATTTGTTTTGTCATTTCAAAAAAAGTGAAATGTAAGAGATTTTTGGAGTAGAAGTAGTAAGAATTATTGAGATTTGGCTGTGGGGTCAAGTTTAAAATTTTTAAAAAATCTGTCTATATTTTGACAACTGCCAAGCCATATAAGCAATATTTATGAGCTATGGCTAATGGCCAGTTCAGTTGTGTCTGTGAATGTTTCATATTTTAACTTTCTTTGATATAGTCATCTCCAATTTCTCTCTTAAATACTCTCTCTCCCATCTTCACCATTACCATTCGGTGTCCTAGTTAAAATTCAGCAAGGAAAAAAAGGTGCAAGAGTTTCTATAAGAATTTATCGCAAGTAACAGAGAAACTTCCTAGTACAGAGCACAATTTGGTTGCAAGTTATCTGAGAATGGCAACATCATGGACCTTTGTGACTGTTCTCCTATCCTGCCAGACCAGCAGCATCCAATTTTATTTCTTTCACTGAATTAAAAAGAAAAATTGCAATAACAACTCCCCAACTAGTGGCTGAAATGAGTAAAAGCAATTTTAAGTGAGAAGAGACAAAAGGTAAAGGTTTAAAATTGGAATTATTTCTCAGTGACAATGGCTCCAGTTTCCCCTTTAGGTCACTTACCTATTCATTTACTGAAAACAATTATTTATTGAGCATGTCCTTTGTGCAATACTATGCTGGATTTTGTTAGAGATGCATAAATGATTCAAAGACGTCTAAGGCCTCATGCCAATCTAATACAAGAATCTAATACAAGAGTGAGAATATAGACACATAATGCTGAGGTAAGACACAACACTACAGAGCTGATGCTGGTCAAAGGAGCGCATGGTCTGGGAAGGTGCAAGTGGCAAAAACCCAGAGCAGGAAACATTTCTCCTCTAGCAAGTCTGTTTCCAACACAGAACCACATGTAACCCATTCAAATGCCATTCATTCAGTGGCAGCTCCAAGAACACCCTGGTTCTGATAGGAGATTTTTGGTTTCACGTAGCCCCAGGAAAGCTAAAATTGCCCTCCATGATCTTAACTCTTCAAGATTCTGATGAGCTTAGATGGCAGGGGCAAGCAGATAGGGAGTCAGGGATGCAGGTTGTCGTTTGCAATGACAAAGAGAACTCTGTGGGTCCTAGACTGACTCTGACGATGGGTTTAATCAGTAACCTGGATGCTGCTTAGACTCAGAGTTCACTCACTTGAGACTGCAGTGCCCTATCAAAGAATCATCAGGGAAGAAAGTGCCAACTCAGACTCCAAGGGTTGATCTAGAGCCAGAAGAAATTCAGGAATACACTCCTTGGGCTTTGTTGCAAAATTATTGTCTTACCCTCCGTCAGCTCAGCAGCCTGACAATTTGAACTCAGTAGTATCACATTGCCACATGGCTATGTTCAGGGGTTAATACTTCTTAGCAAAGAAATAGAGACAATCTCTGTGATCACTTTAAACTTTAAAATAAAGTAATATTCTATACATATCAAAACTAAAACAGCTTTGCATTTGCTCTGAGTCTGAAGGGCATCTAACAACAGTTTGACTGTAAATGGTAGAATTCTGATGGAATCCACTTATAAAAGGCAATTAAGTGTTTCTAGTTTAATATTTGTCCAATTTAGTGTGTCTTTTAAATGTCAGGAACCCAGTTTACTATAAAATTCTTTAGTTTCAAAGGTCCTTTTGAAGTCAATGATCTATTACCAAGCCATGCATTTTTACTACTTGGTTAAAGTGCTGTACCTTTTACTCTTAAAGTATGATAGAGAGGGGAAAGAAAAAAAGCGGTTGACATTATTCAGTGTATCAGAAAAAAAAATGTGTTTTACATTGGCAATTTCTTTTTCCAATTCCATAACTTTATTCATTTCCAAAGCAAGCTGGTTTTCATCGATGGGCAATCTTTCTTCCTGACGAATCAATCTGGCCACAGAAATCATAAAATCCACATATGCTGTACAAGCCTGCAAGAAAAAAATAGCACTAAACTGTTGGAGTAGCTCTAAATATTCATCATGGTACTTAAAATTTATTTTCATTTCAATATTAATTTTTGGTAATAGATAACCTTAGTAAAATAAAAATCCTTTTCTAAGTATTTAAAGAAATGACCTGCACAGATTCTTAGACAGTCAATATATCTTTGAATAAGAGCTTAAAGGAGAGCAATGAGGTATCACTTTGAAAGTACTAAGTAATGTATAACCACTTGGTTATGGAGACTGTAATTTTCAATTTTCAATAAAGTTATTTTGCCTTGATTAGAATGAGTTGCAAAACACTTGATAAGCAATAACATATACTAATTTTTTCGCTGAATAATAATACATTTCTTTTTTTATTTTATTTTACTTTTCATTGAGACAGAGTCTCACACTGTCGCCTGGGCTGGAGTGCAGTGGTGCTGTCTTAGCTCACTGCAACCTACATCTCTATGGTTCAAGCAATTCTCATGCCTCAGCCTCCCAAGTAGCTGGGAGTACAGGCGCCCACCACCACACCCAGCTAATTTTTTGTATTTTCAGTAGAGACAGGATTTCACTATGTTGGCCAGGCTGGTCTGAAACTCCTGACATTGTGATCCGCCTGCCTTGGCCTCCCAAAGTGCTGGGATTACAGGCGTGAGCCACCATGCTCAGCCATAATAATACATTTCTTTACCAAATCTCTTTTTCATAGTCATTTTCTCAACTATTCATGGAAAAATGACCACAAACTCATATAATATAATCACACTTCTTTTTATCTGTCTCCTTGAGTCAAGCAGTTTCTTTTTTATGAAGCTGTGTTGTCAGGAGCTCCACCAACACACACCTGTAGGTTTTAGTTAATTCCATAAATAGCTCCTGTTACTGTAAAATTTCACTATACGATACCATAGATTTAGATATTAGTTTTCTTCTGATAACTCAAATTATTTATATTTTATCTTCACATACATCTTAATTTGCAAAAGTAAACTATAGAATAGTTGTATTACTAACCTTTTACAGAATATATAAATGCCTCATTCAAGTTCACAGTGGCAAGAACACTAGGAAATGGAGTCCCACTTTTGTTAGGTTTGAACCAATTGCTATTTATTAGCCATTATTACCTATTAGCAATTAAAATACATTACGATTCCACCTCATTTTAAAATTTAGTAAAGCAGTCAATTGTGATTATGGATAGGTGAGATTTCTATGCTTCAAAGACTTGTTTGCAGGGTAAATACAAAGAAAGGCTATAAAGTGTGCTATAATGTGCTTTAACATTTTCACAGTTTTAAGAATATTTTACATCCTTATGGAACAATTAGAAGTGGAAGGAACATCCATATATTCACTGTGAGTGCAAAGGTGCATCTGAATTTACAGTGATCCATTAATCAAACCTAAAACTAATAGGAAAATAGAAATATTCGATCAAGCAAGAACTTAAGAAAAATGTACAAAATTATTATCAATTTGTAAGTCCAGAGGTTTATATACTGGTATTCTATGACTTTTACTAAATGCTAAGTAAACAGTTCTTTTCATGGATACTCTGTAATGCTGTGACTATCTAGCTGTGATTGCTATCCATGGATTTGCTACTCAATAGAACAATTTTTCATCTGTGAATCTGCATTAAGATCCTAATCAATTTCACCACATCAACAGAATTAAAAACAAATACCATTGGGCTATCTCAATAGATGTGGGAAAAGTCTCAATAAAACCCAATGTCCTTTCATAATAAAAACCCTTAGTAAACTAGGCATTGCAGAAACATACCTCAAAATAATAAGAACTATCCATAACAAACCCACAGCCAACATCATACTGGATAGGCAAAATGTGGAAGCATTCCCCTTGAGAACAGAAACACGACAAAGACGTCCATTCTCCCCACTCCTATTCAGCACAGTACTGGAAGTCCTACCTAGATCAATCAATCAGGCAAAAGAACGAAAGAGAAGGCATCCAAATAGGAAAAGAAGTCAAACTCTCTCTTTTCACTAATGATATGATTCTATACCTAGAAAATCCTGAAGACTCTGCCAAAGGGCTCCTGGAACTCATAAACAACTTCACAAAAATTTCAGGATACAAAATCCATGAATAAAAATTGGTGGCATATCTATTTACCAATAATGTTCAAGCTGAGAGCCAAATCAAGAACACAATCTCATTTGCAATAGGCACACACACATACACATTACATAAATATCTAAGAGTATATCTGACTAAGGAGATGAAATATTTCTACAAGGAGAACTACAAAACATTGCTGAAAGAAATCATAGAGGAAGCAAACAAACAAAAATATTTCATGCTTATGGACTGGAAGAATCAGTATCATCAAATGGCCATACTGCCCAAAGTAATATACAGATTCAACACTCTTTTTATCAAACTACCAATGTCATTTTTCACAGAATTAGAAAAAACAATTCTAAAATTCATATAAAACCAAAAAAGAGCCCAAATGGCCAAAGTAATCCTAAGCAACAAGAACAAGACTGGAGGCATCACATTACCTGACTTCAAATTATACTATAATGCTGCAGTAGTCAAAACAGCATGGTCTGGGTACACAAATAGACACACAGACCAATGGAACAGGATAGAGAACACAGAAGTAAAGCAGCACACCTACAGCCATCTGATCTGTGACAAAGTTGACAAAAATAAGCAACAGGGAAAGGACTCCCTATTCAAAAATGGTGCTAGGGTAACTGGCTAGTCATATGCAGAAGAATAAAATGGGACCCCTAACTTTCATCATACACAAAAATTACCTCAAGATGGATTAAAGATTTAAATGTAAGACTTCAAACTCTAAGTGTCCTAGAACAAAATAGGAAATACCTTTCTGGATGCCAGCCTTGGGAAAGAGTTTATCACTAAGTCCTCAAAAGGAATTGCAACAAAAACAAATATTGACAAGTGGGACCTAATTAAATTAAATAGCTTCTGCCACAGCAAAAGAAACTATGAACATAGTAAACAGACAACCTACAGAATGGGAGAAAACATTCCCAAACTAGGCATCCAAGAAAAGTCTAATATCCAGAATCTACAAGAAACTTAAACAATTCAACAAGCAAAAAACAAATAGCCCCATTAAAAAGTAGGAAAAGACAGGAACAGACACTTCTCAAAAGAAAACATACAAGTGGTCAACAAATGTACGAGACAACATTAAACATAGCTAATCATCAGAGATATATAAATCTAAACCACGATGAAATACCATCTCACACCAGTTGGAATGGCTATTATCAAAAGTCAAAAATGAACAGATGCTGGTGAGGCTACAGAGAAAAGGGAACACTTATACACTGTGGTGAAAATGCAAACTAGTTTAGCCTCTACAGAAAGCAGTTTGGAGATTTCTCAAAGAACTTAAAATAGAACTACCATTTGACCCAGAAATCTCATTATTGGATATATACCCAAAAGAAAATAAGTCATTCTACCAAAGACTTATGCACTCATTTGTTAATCACAGCACTACTCACAATAGCAAAAACGTAGAATCAACCTAGAGAATCATCAATGGTAGACTGGATAAAGAAAATGTGGTACATATACACCCTGGAATACTATGCAGCCATAAAAAAGAATGAAATCATGTCCTTTGCAGCAACATGGATGCAGCTGGAGGTCATTATCCTAAGTGAATTAATGCAGGAAGAGAAAACCAAATACCACATGTTCTCATTTATAAGTAGGAGCTAAATGTTGGGCATTTAAGGACATAGAGATGGCAATAATAGATGCTGAGGATTAATAGAGGGTGGAGGGAGAGAGTGGAGCAAGGGTTGAAACACTAACTATTGGGTACTATGCTCACTACCTCAGTGATGGGGTCATTCATATTCTAAACCTCAGTACCATGCAATATATCCATGTAACAAAACTACACATGTACCCCCTGAATCTAAAATAAAACTTGAAATTATATTTTTAAAAAACTCTAATCACTAAAGTAACAGAAATGAAAAGACAATTTTACGTATATTCTCAGCAACTCAATTTTTTTCTATTTAAGGTAATCAGAATTTTTGTTTCACTTTGAAGTAAACGAGTATGTCTGAGTTCATACCTCATGGGACCAACTATTCCAAAGTACAAGCATGCAGTGTTTTGAATTAACTGTATTCCCAAAGCATATAAATCAATCGACCTTTAGCAGGGTATTACTACTGACTATAAACAAAATGGTAGTTCGAATTTTCCAATATCAATCTACTGAGATATATCTCAGTAGATTGATATTGGAAAATTGATATTGGAAAATATATATATACCATATATATATACACACCATATATATACACATATATATATACACCATATATATGTATATATACACACCATATATATACACACACTATATATGTATGGTATATATATATATATATATATATATGGTGTGTGTATATATATGGTGTGTATATATACATATATATGGTGTATATACATATATATATATGGGATGCTTTTTGTTGATGAGGTGAGAAAACAATAACAGTAATCATCTTGGGCACTTTGTTGACTCAGCAAACTGATTCTGCTCCAGTCTCTTTATCCTTACCGATGTATTTAAAGACTATAGAACTTTGATATAAGGCAAGCACAAGAACTTTGGATGATGCTTCTAGTCTGCTAAACTGGTCAAGTTTCTCAGAAAACTGGAAGCATATAGTATCACTAGCTTCTGGGATGCTCGAGTATTTAATATAGCTACATGGAATATACCACTTCTTTTAATGAATTCCATTACCTGGTAACTACTCCAATGTAACTGATTAAAACATATGTCTTAGTATCATGACTATCTTTCCTGACTTCCAAATTTATCTGGTGTCAGAACTTAAGGTTACTGCCGTGCTAAATCCATTGTACGAGATGTGATTCTACCTTAAGGTTTTAATTTTCTTTATTATGATACTTCCAGATATGGAAAATGTGAAATGATGATAATTGTCATGATTTGGGAAGAAACTTTATACATATATATATATATATATTTTTTTTTTTTTTTTTTTTTTTTAGACGGGGTTTGCTCTTGTTGCCCAGGGTGGAGTGCAATGGTGCAATCTCGGCTCACTGCAACCTCCGCGTCCTGGGTTCAAGTGATTCTCCTGCCTTAGCTGGGATTATAGGCATGTGCCACCATGCCCGGCTAATTTTTTGTATTTAGTAGAGACGGGGTTTCACTACGTTGGTCAGGCTGGTCTTGAACTCCTGACCCCAGGTGATCCACCACCTCTGAGTCCCAAAGTGCTGGGAATACAAGCATGAGCCACCACGTCAGGCAAATCAACATGTATTTTAACACTTAAAAAGTAGATTGGCCAGGATACTTTTTAAACCCAAATTTAATTTTGTGTGTGTGTGACTGAGAGAGCAATTAGTTATTACAACAGAGGCCAGAGTCAGCTCTCATTTTTGACAGTCATAAGGTAGATTTCTTGAAGCTCTGAGATAGCAAATCAATGATTGTTTACGTGAAGAAGAATCCACCAAAACATTTATGTAGCTTTTCTTAAAAAAAAAATTGTAAGTCCTAGTACTCGTAACAGTAGTTTCAAAGGTGATCATCGGTTTTAAACAGTTAGATAAAATCCATATAATAGCAGTTTTGTGGGTTTTAAAATCACACACTACCAATGAGATGATATTTACTAACACCCAACACCATGGATAGTTACTCTAGTTAGGACTATCTTCATTTTGCAGAATCAGGTAATGATATTTATAAATTGGCTCTTTAGAAATGAGGCTCTTCCTGCCTGGAAAAAGCCTGATGTTTGTTAGATTTGCCAAAGAGGAAGAGAGCAAATGAATGCCATTTGACTACTGTCCTTCAAACTTTAATTTCATTCCTAATGAATGACAATCAAGACCCAGGGAGGAACAGAAAACTGTCCTGTCAGATTGATATCTGGGTAACCTAGCGAGCCAACTACCTATGGATCAGGGATTTTATTTCCAAAGATTCTGAGACACCTAGCTCTTACCAATGTTCTGCCTTCCCCATTCTAGGAAGAAACTCCACTTAATGTGGAGCATGAAGTGACTGAGGAGTCACAGAATTGTGTCATTCTTGGCCACTGATGTTGGGGAATATTTAATAATGCTACACAAGAAGTTTGCTGGGGGAACACAGAGGGAGACTAAGCAGGAAAGATTATTTCCTACCAAAAAAGCTTAGAAACATTTCTCAATTTAAGCAGCATGTCAGCTAGTGTGCAGTTGTTAGCAGAGAGACCTGCTTCCCTCCAACAGACTGCAAACATATAGTCACACAGCCATTTCTGGGCACTGGAAATAAAAAATAGCCCCCAGTGGAGCAGGACGCTAGAGCAGGAGGAACGTGGGACCTAAGAGGACCCAAACTTGGACCAGCATAGGGACTGTTTGGGGCTTTCATCAGGTTATCAATAAGAACCTGAAGATTTGTACAACTTCTTGCATAACTTCCAAGGTTTATTCCATGCTTGGGGGGCTGAATCTAGCTCTTTTTACAAACTGAGTTCAGTTGATCTCAAAAATTCTCTGTCATATTCACTAAATCTCATGTTTAAAAGCCCCCTTTTGTTTTCTTAAACACAGATTACTGAACTGAGTGAAACCTTCTGACTATTAGTCACTTGGTACCCAGAAAGGACAAAGTGAGGTCAGCAGTTTCCCTTGCAGGGCCTGTCTTATCATGTCATAGCTGTGTTATGCAGTGAGACAAGCTCCGCCACGTATCACTGAGGCACATATTGGCCGAGCAGTTTAAAGTACACAAACTGTTTCCCTATAATGATAGAGCCACCTACACAAGATTATCTTAGGTCTGCTCAGATTTCTCTATCTGACTTGCTGCCATCTGAGTCCATCGTTATCTTTCACATGAATTACCATGTGGCCTTCTCTGATCTTTCTGCTTCCATTAAAACACATTCTACAAACAACAGCCAGAGATGGTTTCAGCAAGCCAAATTGAATCACCCATGCCTTACCCCAGTCACTTATTATTCTATCACCTTGATTTATTTTCTTTATAACACTCACAATTTGTCTCATTTCCTTAAATTATTTACTTGGTTATTTATTGTCTATCTCTTCCCATTAGAACATGAGTTCCATGAGAACAAGGACCTTGTTTCCTTGGAATGTCTACTGCCTAGAAAAGTATCTGTCACATAGCATAAGCTCAATGAAGATCTGTTGAATTAAAAAAAAATGAAGTTAAATTGTAAATATATTAAGTTTCTCTCACTTCCTATTTCCTCGGAACTTCTATTCTTAGCTCAAGTCCTGAACAGTTTCTCTCAGCTTGTACATTGGGTAGGTGGACAAAGAAAATCCCCTCTTGTTTAATCCCAGTTCCAGCTTGCACCTGCTCATCTACAGGATAGCCAATCTCAGCTTGTGTTCTTTCCCAGGTACATATAATTTGGAGACTTCTCCTGGCTTTTCTGATCTAGGAGCACAGACTCTGGGTCATCGCTTTCTGGCTTCAGTCCATTGTGCCCATGTTCCAAGTCCTCTATCCTCATCCCTAAAATGTCTCTATTTTTATGAACCTCAGATTTTGTGAAGGCTCTACACTTCTTTATAACTCTGGCTTCTTCTCCCTAGCCATGCCCTGCAGCAGTATACCCTGTAGCTTCTACTCTCCAGTTCCTTTCCCGCCTCCTTATGCTCTCAAACTCTAGCCTGAGTGGTTTTCTTACTTTTCTTTTAGACCTGAAATGCTCTACTCAAAGAAATGTTTTGTGGATGTATAAATGCACAAGTAAAAATAAATCATAGTGGCTTTTGAAGTGTGTGTACATGTGAGGTGTTTCTGCACAGAGCCCTGTAATTGGCACACACAAAGTAGTCCTTAGAGTTGGAAACCACTAACCTCACTTATTGCTCCTTCTCAGGCAAACATCAGTACAGAGCATAAACATATCTATTATGTAATTATGCTCAAATATTTTGGATTCCTAATCTTCAGATTTCCTTATGAAGGACAACAAAGTAAGATAACAATTGCTCTTGAAAAGCTAAGAAGGTAGAGAAAGGGAAGCTTTGAGACCAATTCCAATTCACCCCCAATACAGAGTTCAGACTCTTCTGAAGGTGGGTGATTTCTTAAGAAAATTAAGGTCCTCATTTCTCTCAGTGAATCAATATAGAAGAACATTCTCACATGAGGTTGCTGGTTGGTTTCACTTACAAATTTTGTGAATGGGAATGGTTATGTTTATGGGCCATGTGTATCTTTCGTATTGTTTTCCTAGCATAGAAATTTGTACCTCTGTAAGGAATAGAATTGTCTTGAATCTCCCTACTTCTGTTCTTTGAGATAGCATTGTGTCATTAAGTAATCTCTTCAGATAATCAGAATACCTCAGAACTCAGGCTCCATCTCTTTAACAAAGATATAGCACAAGAAGCTCCTTGATGAGAACATCTTGAGAACAGTTTGTTAGGAAGAGCAGACACGGTGAATGTGGGCCCCTTTCTGAGATGATGCAACTGTTCTCTATCACTTTCCCTTTCTAGATTATAATAATAATCAAATATTACAATACAAAAATTCCATTATGAGGGTATCCAAAGCAAAAAAAAAATGACTTCTATAAAGTGAAATGATCTTCTTAGTAATTGTGGGGGCTATTTTCATAGTCGATAAGAAGTTTGGTTTTAAGATTATGGGAGATGATACCTCTGGATGACCTGGATATCCTGGAAGGAAGGATCAAAGAAGACCTGGGGAAACAGGCTGAGTTAATAATCTGATAAAGGAGACCTACGATTAGAGTACTTTTGACTGAAGAGGGAATGTGACCCTCTGTGATCCTCAGCCTCTGAGGCATATCTGCAGAAGGTAGACCCCACACTAAAGTTTTAAAATTATAGGCTAAAGCGACGGGCAAGGAAGCCAGACCTCTCTGGTCTAAGACCATCTTTCTTTGACAAAAAAAGTTGGTGACCCTATGCCAATTCTCAAAACTTCTCTTGATTATTTCCAATAAAATAATGTAAACTGCAAATGTATGATACCCATTGATTGTATAAATATACCTCAGGCAAACTGAGTTTAGCAAAGAAGTAACTGGGGATTGAAAAGAGAAAAGAGAACACAGAGTTTGTAAAATGCTAAAGAAATGTATGCTATTAGCTATTGATGCCCTAGAGCTCATGTTTCCCGGAATCAAGGGAAGGAAACAAGGAGGGCTTCCAAAAGATTGGGTTCTTCTTTCTTTTGTTTCCTCTCTTCCCTGCTATCTTCCCCCTCAATCATTCATTTGCTGATTCTGTAGTATTTAAGGGCCAGAAACTTTGGTAGGTATTAGAAAAAGAGCAAAGGGCAATGAGACACAGCATTGCTTCCACTTCATTTACAGTTTTATAGAAAAAAAAAGACATTAAATAAGAAGTATACAGAAACCTGGGTGCTAGGAAAACTATATTAGAGGAAAGAGTGTAGGCAGGTGGTGTGTGTGGGGGGCAAGTTCTAGGCAAAGGGAAAAGCATATATAAAAGCCTATAAGGGAGAAAATCATTGAAGGCCAATGATACACTGACATTAACATTCCTTCCAGATTTATAACTCCTCTACTGAAGGTAAACTTGTTATTCTACACTTCGCACCATTTTTTGTTCATGAAGCAATAAGACACAAGACAGAAATACTTAAGGTGGTTGACATCTTTCAAAGATAGCAGAGTAGTGGAAAAACTAGAATTTTGCCAGAAATGCAGGGGAAACTGAGGGATTGCAGGTGGTAGGGATTAGGAGAGAGTAGAAAATATCATGGGAAAAATAAGGGTAACATTGGAATTCTTACTGTAACTACACACGCTCTCACCCCCATGCCCAAAAGAATGGATTTAAAAAAAGGGAGAGGGTGCAGAAATATTCAGATAATTACCCATTTCTGGGATGACATGTAACTTTTATTTTTATGCAACTCCCTTCCACTGAAAGGAGATTGCTTACAGCTTGAAGCACTACCTTAAGAAGAATTCTGAGATCTCAGGTTAGCAGGAAAGAAGGATGTCACCAAAAGTACATAGTTATGGAAGAGGAGCAAGGCAGCAAGCATGCTGCGTGTTTGCTAGTCTGATTCAGATCGTTGAAGAGCACCTAATTAAGCTGAGAATAACTTCCGGGCTGTAAGTGCCAGTGCAGGTTAGTTTCTTCTATCATTTGCTCATTCAAAGAACTCTACTAGTATGAAGTACCAACTCTTAAGAAATTGTAATAATGTAGTAGAATGAAGAAGAGAGAAGGACCAAAGTTTGCCACTATACTACTGTTCTGCTGAGTGTTGACAGCAAACTTCTGAGACTCAGATTTCTCACTCATAAACTCTATAAACATATTACTGATTCTAGATTTGATCACCACTGTGTTATTTGATCACAAATACAGTATTCCCTAGATCAGTGGATGTAAACTGTGGCAGAGTATGCTAAATGACATTGGTATATGTACTCCTCATCTTTTAAATGATACGACCTTCCTCTCTGCCAACCAAGTTTTAACAAGACACAGACATGGCCACTGCTCAAGACTACATTTTCCTGCCTCCTTTATATTTAGTTGTGGCCACATGACAATGTTTTAAGCAACGGAATGTATGCAAGTTCTGCGCCATTTACATAAAGGTTAACTATTTGTCTACCACTTTCTCTCTTTTCTTCTTCCTGTGGCCTGACATGTGAATAGGGCACTGGTGAACCAACTTTGACCAAATAGACTAAGAAAAACACCAGAGGAGGTTGATGTTAGAGCAAAAAATCAAAGAAAGCCGGCTCCCAGACATTCCCATGGAGCAGAGCTTCCTGCCTCATCTGGATGGCCTGCCTACTTCCAGACTGGCATGACAGACAGAAGTAAACTTTTTCTTGTTTGAGCTACTGTATTTGTGTTTTTACTGCTGTGGCTTAGCCAAGACCAGACTAATATGCAAAATCAAGTGCCTACAGGAGCCGATAAGTCAATATAAATCGATGAATCATGTTGATGAGGACTGTTCAAAACTGTTCAAACCTGGAGAACAAATGCCCTTTCTTTTTTTTTTTTTTTTTTGAGATGGAGTTTCGCTCTTGTTGCCCAGGCTGGAGTCCAATGGCACGATCTTGGCTCACTGCAACCTTTATCTCCTGGGTTCAAGCGATTCTCCTGCCTCAGCCTCCCAAGTTCCCAAGTAGCTGGGATTACAGGCATGCAGAACCACGCCCGGCTAATTTTGTATTTTTAGTAGAGATGGGGTTTCTCCATGGTGGTCAGGCTGGTCTCGATCTCCCGACCTCAGGTGATCCACCCGCCTTGGCCTCCCAAAGTGCAGAGATTACAGGCATGAGCCACTGCGCCCAGCCAATAAATGCCCTTTCTAAAAGGAGCAACCACAACACCACTCTGGTCAATTGCTGCCATATAAGAATGCAAGCTAGGGGCTCAAATTCTACTGACTTACTAAGAAATCTGGATTCTCAAATGAAATCTTTCAATTTTGAAAAATATTGACAACTAATTCAAAATTTAAAAAAAAACACTACAGGTTAAACAAAAATGCTTCTATATCAGATTCAAGCCAAAGACTGCCAGTTTGTGACCTGTTTGAGATTATGGGATAGCATTGAGTATAAAATGCAAAAATGCAACATCTTAACAATGAAAAAAAAAAAGCTTTTACTGCCTTAAATATATACATCGACTGCCAGGTATACCTTGATATCAGAATTAAAATGTAAAAAAAATATGTATCATAGGATTTGAAAAATTTGATATAAGAACACAATCCTAAATATGAAAAGCATCCCAGTTCATGGTGATAAAAATGTACAATAGTGAACCAAAATTCCTCAATCACTTTCAAATCTGTAACAGAAAGCAGCTGCATTGCTCTTAAAGCCAGTAGCTGTACCCCACACAGCAACTAGATTGTACTGAACTCAAATATCCCATACCCATGTATTTATCTGTGCTATTAATTGTGGCCTTTGATGATATATCTTTTTCTTCATTTCAGTGTTGTGTAGTCATTCAAAAAGATACCTTACAGTGAATTCATTCCATGTTATTCGAACTTCATAATTTGGCAAAATAAATGCCAATCATAAACATATTTAGCTAGTAATTTTAACTAAAATGTAATTTTAGTCACATCACTACACTGTGAGCCATTAGGATCATCAAAGATAACTTACTTTTGAGCTACAAAATAATTATAAGACAAACCTTTGTAGAACCAACACCTTTCCCCAATATCTAATAACGTGTAAGATTATTAGTTTTGTCTCCTGCTGTTCCTTACTTTCTGTAAGAAAAGCACATGGGCCAGGTGTGGTGGCTCACATCTGTAATCCCAGCACTTTAGGGGGCCGAGGCAGGTGGACCACAAAGTCAGGAGTTCGAGACCACACTGGCCAAAATGGTGAAACCCCGTCTCTACTAAAAATACAAAAATTAGCTGGGCGCGGTGGCGGGCACCTGTAATCCCAGGTACTCAGGAGGCCGAGGCTGGGAGAATTGCTTGAACCAGGGAGGCGGAGGTTGCAGTGACCCAAGATTGCGCCACTGCACTCTAGCCTGGGTGACAGGACAGAGCAAGACTCTGTCTCAAAAAAAAAAAAAAAAAAAAAAAAAAAAGGAGGAGGAGCCAAGTTGGCCGAATAGGAACAGCTCCAGTCTACAGCTCCCAGCGTGAGCAACGCAGAAGATGGGTGATTTCCGCATTTCCATCTGAGGTACCGGGTTCATCTCACTAGGGAGTCCCAGACAGTGGGCGCAGGCCAGTGGGTGCACGCACCGTGCGTGAGCCGAAGCAGGGCGAGGCATTGCCTCACCTGGGAAGCGCAAGGGGTCAGGGAGTTCCCTTTCCAAGTCAAAGAAAGGGGTGACGGACGCACCTGGAAAATCGGGTCACTCCCACCCGAATATTGCGCTTTTCAGACCGGCTTAAAAACGGCGCACCACGAGACTATATCCCACACCTGGCTCGGAGGGTCCTACGCCCACGGAATCTCGCTGATTGCTAGCACAGCAGTCTGAGATCAAACTGCAAGGCGGCAGCGAGGCTGGGGGAGGGGCGCCTGCCATTGCCCAGGCTTGCTTAGGTAAACAAAGCAGCCCGGAAGCTCGAACTGGGTGGAGTCCACCACAGCTCAAGGAGGCCTGCCTGCCACTATAGGCTCCACCTCTGGGGGCAGGGCACAGACAAACAAAAAGACAGCAGTAACCTCTGCAGACTTAAATGTCCCTGTCTGACAGCTTTGAAGAGAGCAGTGGTTCTCCCAGCACACAGCTGGAGATCTGAGAACCGGCAGACTGCCTCCTCAAGTGGGTCCCTGACCCCTGACCCCCGAGCAGCCTAACTGGGAGGCACCCCCCAGCAGGGGCACACTGACACCTCACACGGCAGGGTATTCCAACAGACCTGCAGCTGAGGGTCCTGTCTGTTAGAAGGAAAACTAACAAACAGAAAGGACATCCACACCAAAAACCCATCTGTACATCATCATCATCAAAGACCAAAAGTAGATAAAAGCACAAAGATGGGGAAAAAACAGAACAGAAAAACTGGAAACTCTAAAACGCAGAGCGTCTCTCCTCCTCCAAAGGAACGCAGTTCCTCACCAGCAACGGAACAAAGCTGGATGGAGAATGACTTTGACGAGCTGAGAGAAGAAGGCTTCAGACGATCAAATTACTCTGAGCTACAGGAGGACATTCAAACCAAAGGCAAAGAAGTTGAAAACTTTCAAAAAAATTTAGAAGAATGTATAACTAGAATAACCAATACAGAGAAGTGCTTAAAGGAGCTGATGGAGCTGAAAACCAAGGCTTGAGAACTACGTGAAGAATGCAGAAGCCTCAGGAGCTGATGCGATCAACTGGAAGAAAGGGTATCAGCAATGGAAGATGAAATGAATGAAATGAAGCGAGAAGGGAAGTTTAGAGAAAAACGAATAAAAAGAAATGAGCAAAGCCTCCAAGAAATATGGGACTATGTGAAAACACCAAATCTACGTCTGATTGGTATACCTGAAAGTGATGGGGAGAATGGAACCAAGTTGGAAAACACTCTGCAGGATATTATCCAGGAGAACTTCCCCAATCTAGCAAGGCAGGCCAACGTTCAGATTCAGGAAATACAGAGAACGCCACAAAGATACTCCTCGAGAAGAGCAACTCCAAGACACATAATTGTCAGATTCACCAAAGTTGAAATGAAGGAAAAAATGTTAAGGGCAGCTAGAGAGAAAGGTCGGGTTACCCTCAAAGGGAAGCCCATCAGACTAACAACGGATCTCTCGGCAGAAACCCTACAAGCCAGAAGAGAGTGGGGGCCAGTATTCAACATTCTTAAAGAAAAGAATTTTCAACCCAGAATTTCATATCCAGCCAAACTAAGCTTCATAAGTGAAGGAGAAATAAAATACTTTACAGACAAGCAAATGCTGAGAGATTTTGTCACCACCAGGCCTGCCCTAAAAGAGCTCCTGAAGGAAGTGCTAAACATGGAAAGGAACAACCGGTACCAGCCGCTGCAAAATCATGCCAAAATGTAAAGACCATCGAGACTAGGAAGAAACTGCATCAACTAACGAGCAAAATCACCAGCTAACATCATAATGACAGGATCAAATTCACACATAACAATATTAACTTTAAATGTAAATGGACTAAATGCTCCAATTAAAAGACACAGACTGGCAAATTGGATAAACAGTCAAGACCCATCAGTGTGCTGTATTCAGGAAACCCATCTCACATGCAGAGACACACATAGGCTCAAAATAAAAGGATGGAGGAAGATCTACCAAGCAAATGGAAAACAAAAAAAGGCAGGGGTTGCAATCCTAGTCTCTGATAAAACAGACTTTAAACCAACAAAGATCAAAAGAGACAAAGAAGGCCATTACATAATGGTAAAGGGATCAATTCAACAAGAAGAGCTAACTATCCTAAATATATATGCACCCAATACAGGAGCACCCAGATTCATAAAGCAAGTCCTGAGTGACCTACAAAGAGACTTAGACTCCCACGCATTAATAATGGGAGACTTTAACACCCCACTGTCAACATTAGACACATCAACGAGACAGAAAGTCAACAAGGATACCCAGGAATTGAACTCAGCTCTGCACCAAGCGGACCTAATAGACATCTACAGAACTCTCCACCCCAAATCAACAGAATATACATTTTTTTCAGCACCACACCACACCTATTCCAAAATTGACCACATAGTTGGAAGTAAAGCTCTCCTCAGCAAATGTAAAAGAACAGAAATTATAAAAAACTATCTCTCAGACCACAGTGCAATCAAACTAGAACTCAGGATTAAGAATCTCACTCAAAGCCGCTCAACTACATGGAAACTGAACAACCTGCTCCTGAATGACTACTGGGTACATAACGAAATGAAGGCAGAAATAAAGATGTTCTTTGAAACCAACGAGAACAAAGACACAACATACCAGAATCTCTGGGATGCATTCAAAGCAGTGTGTAGAGGGAAATTTATAGCACTAAATGCCCACAAGAGAAAGCAGGAAAGATCCAAAATTGACACCCTAACATCACAATTAAAAGAACTAGAAAAGCAAGAGCAAACACATTCAAAAGCTAGCAGAAGGCAAGAAATAACTAAAATCAGAGCAGAACTGAAGGAAATAGAGACACAAAAAACCCTTCAAAAAATTAATGAATCCAGGAGCTGGTTTTTTGAAAGGATCAACAAAATTGATAGACCGCTAGTAAGACTAATAAAGAAAAAAAGAGAGAAGAATCAAATAGACACAATAAAAAATGATAAAGGGGATATCACCACCGATCCTACAGAAATACAAACTACCATCAGAGAATACTATAAACACCTCTACGCAAATAAACTAGAAAATCTAGAAGAAATGGATAAATTCCTCGACACATACACTCTCCCAAGACTAAACCAGGAAGAAGTTGAATCTCTGAATAGACCAATAACAGGAGCTGAAATTGTGGCAATAATCAATAGTTTACCAACCAAAAAGAGTCCAGGACCAGATGGATTCACAGCCGAATTCTACCAGAGGTACAAGGAAGAACTGGTACCATTCCTTCTGAAACTATTCCAATCAATAGAAAAAGAGGGAATCCTCCCTAACTCATTTTATGAGGCCAGCATCATTCTGATACCAAAGCTGGGCAGAGACACAACCAAAAAAGAGAATTTTAGACCAATATCCTTGATGAACATTGATGCAAAAATCCTCAATAAAATACTGGCAAACCGAATCCAGCAGCACATCAAAAAGCTTATCCACCATGATCAAGTGGGCTTCATCCCTGGGATGCAAGGCTGGTTCAATATACGCAAATCAATAAATGTAATCCAGCATATAAACAGAGCCAAAGACAAAAACCACATGATTATCTCAATAGATGCAGAAAAGGCCTTTGACAAAATTCAACAACCCTTCATGCTAAAAACTCTCAAGAAATTAGGTATTGATGGGACGTATTTCAAAATAATAAGAGCTATCTATGACAAACCCACAGCCAATATCATACTGAATGGGCAAAAACTGGAAGCATTCCCTTTGAAAACTGGCACAAGACAGGGATGTCCTCTCTCACCACTCCTATTCAACATAGTGTTGGAAGTTCTGGCCAGGGCAATTAGGCAAGAGAAGGAAATAAAGGGTATCCAATTAGGAAAAGAGGAAGTCAAATTGTCCCTGTTTGCAGAAGACATGATTGTATATCTAGAAAACCCCATTGTCTCAGCCCAAAATCTCCTTAAGCTGATAAGCAACTTCAGCAAAGTCTCAGGATACAAAATCAATGTACAAAAATCACAAGCATTCTTATACACCAATAACAGACAAACAGAGAGCCAAATCATGAGTGAACTCCCATTCACAATTGCTTCAAAGAGAATAAAATACCTAGGAATCCAACTTACAAGGGATGTGAAGGACCTCTTCAAGGAGAACTACAAACCACTGCTCAAGGAAATAAAAGAGGATACAAACAAATGGAAGAACATTTCATGCTCATGGGTAGGAAGAATCAATATCGTGAAAATGGCCATACTGCCCAAGGTAATTTACAGATTCAATGCCATCCCCATCAAGCTACCAATGACTTTCTTCACAGAATTGGAAAAAACTACTTTAAAGTTCATATGGAACCAAAAAAGAGCCCGCATTGCCAAGTCAATCCTAAGCCAAAAGAACAAAGCTGGAGGCATCACACTACCTGACTTCAAACTATACTACAAGGCTACAGTAACCAAAACAGCATGGTACTGGTACCAAAACAGAGATATAGATCAATGGAACAGAACAGAGCCCTCAGAAATAATGCCGCATACCTACAACTATCTGATCTTTGACAAACCTGAGAAAAACAAGCAATGGGGAAAGGATTCCCTATTTAATAAATGGTGCTGGGAAAACTGGCTAGCCATATGTAGGAAGCTGAAACTGGATCCCTTCTTTACACCTTATACAAAAATCAATTCAAGATGGATTAAAGATTTAAACGTTAGACCTAAAACCATAAAAACCCTAGAAGAAAACCTAGGCATGACCATTCAGGACATAGGCATGGGCAAGGACTTCATGTCCAAAACACCAAAAGCAATGGCAACAAAAGCCAAAATTGACAAATGGGATCTAATTAAACTAAAGAGCTTCTGCACAGCAAAAGAAACTACCATCAGAGTGAACAGGCAACTTACAAAATGGGAGAAAATTTTCGCAACCTACTCATCTGACAAAGGGCTAATATCCAGAATCTACAATGAACTTAAACAAATTTACAAGAAAAAAACAAACAACCCCATCAAAAAGTGGGCGAAGGACATGAACAGACACTTCTCAAAAGAAGACATTTATGCAGCCAAAAAACACATGAAAAAATGCTCATCATCACTGGCCATCAGAGAAATGCAAATCAAAACCACAATGAGATACCATCTCACACCAGTTAGAATGGCAATCATTAAAAAGTCAGGAAACAACAGGTGCTGGAGAGGATGTGGAGAAATAGGAACACTTTTACACTGTTGGTGGGACTGTAAACTAGTTCATCCATTGTGGAAGTCAGTGTGGCGATTCCTCAGGGATCTAGAACTAGAAATACCATTTGACCCAGCCATCCCATTACTGGGTATATACCCAAATGACTATAAATCATGCTGCTATAAAGACACATGCACATGTATGTTTATTGCGGCATTATTCACAATAGCAAAGACTTGGAACCAACCCAAATGTCCAACAATGATAGACTGGATTAAGAAAATGTGGCACATATACACCATGGAATACTATGCAGCCATAAAAAATGATGAGTTCATGTCCTTTGTAGGGACATGGATGAAATTGGAAATCATTCTCAGTAAACTATCGCAAGAACAAAAAACCAAACACCGCATATTCTCACTCATAGGTGGGAATTGAACAATGAGATCACATGGACACAGGAAGGGGAATATCACACTCTGGGGACTGTGGTGGGGTGGGGGGAGGGGGGAGGGATAGCATTGGGAGATATACCTAATGCTAGATGACGAGTTAGTGGGTGCAGCGCACCAGCATGGCACATGTATACATATGTAACTAACCTGCACAATGTGCACATGTACCCTAAAACTTAAAGTATAATAAAAAAAAAAAAAAAAAAAGAGCACGTGAACATCAGCCCAAGGGAGGCAAGGTTGTGAGACAATAAGAAAGCACTCCAGAACATCCAAACGTCCACTATGGGATATGATGCCCACTGGCTACCTGGCCAATGTTAGAGTCACAAGGTAGCTGCAAAAGTTTGTCTGAGCCCAATGTCACTACCTGCATAGTTCTCTGACAGTCAAATCAGATGGTTCCAGAAGGATGCTGCAGAGTGTATCTCTCACTGACCCTCTGGTCCTCACCAGCACCACCCTAGACCATGATAAATCTTTTCATTTTTTAAATAATGCAGTTTACAGGTGGATTAAAATATTTTAAATTAACTTTTCAAAATCGATCATATGTTTTAAATACTAAAAACCAAGATACAAATAAGGAATTTCAAGTTTCCTAGTTTTGTAAAATACCTTCATTCATTCTATTGAGAATGTTCATTCTATCAAAGACAGCTCACTATTATGTGTGATTTTAAGTCCCTGTCATGAATGAAAAACATCAGAGGGCTAAATTTAATTTGGCTTTATCTTTTTCATTACTTGTAGGTTTACACCAGATCATTTTGTAGTTTGGTTTTGATTATTTTTTTTCTTTTTACCTCTTTATAGATTCCAGTGCATTCATAGTAATCTCTAGAAGGGAGGCCAAGTCGAGGTTGGTCAATCTATAAAAAATATACATAAAAGAAAATAAATCATTCAGTGAATATAGAAAAGTTTGAAAAATACAAGCATGTCTATCTATGTATGTGAAAGATCCTACTCTTGCTGTTTATGGGGTGACCATCAGACACTCAATAAATACCTAGTTAGGAAATGCTTTCTACACTACTTGTAAGTGTTATACTAACGGGCAGTTAGATAATCTGGAGGACTGTGCTGCAGATATTTAAGGAAAACAAAAGAAAGTGAACAAAAGATTTACTAGGAGGGATTTTTAATGCAGAGCAGAAGGTGCAAGTGAACAAAAACATGTTAGATTCTAGGACGTGGAAATTTCTAAATTACATATTCACAGATTTCTCAGCTTCCTGAGATTCTAATGTGCTCCCCTGGGAACATTCTCATCTGCTTCCACCCTTAGTTGGGATCCCCTTTCATTGGTGGGAGTGGGTTAATATTCTTCAAGTTGATTTGGATGGATGGGGAGAAGGGGAGAAGTGGAAAACCTCTAAGGTAACTCCAGAATCTTTTAGCTAATGTAACTTGTGCCAGAAAATGTTTTTTAAGATTCTCTACCCTAAGGGAATGGAGGCGACTTCTCCTTGGTTCTCCTCAAAGCTGCTCTGCTCAGAAGAACCTCAGTAGACCCAGATAGCAGTTAAGGGTGTGAAAGAGGAAACTCAGTTTTGCGCTAACGTGTCTGGTCCATGTTTAATACCCAAGTGGGAGCTATCTGGGCATACTGCAGCTTTGCAAGATTGTTTCCTACTCACTGCATGGCAACATGAGTGTGGAGGCCAAACAGAGCATTTCTGGGTTAAAGAGAGAATCCTAGCAGCTGTGGAGAGCCTAGGCCAATAGAAAAGAAAACATAACCCAAAGAACTGGTATGGAAAGAGCCAGAAGATATCTCCACATGAAGGGCCCTGATCCTTCCCCACCCCCTGGTCCTCAAGGTGATCCTGCAAGGAGAAAGTTTCAGAAGAGAGAGAGCCCACTGCAGGAGATTTGGGTTCAATTCCTTTCATGATTTTAACAAAAACGACCATAAAGATTTATGCAATAGTGACACAGATATGATTAGGTGATTCAGTAGCCTGCAATTTTTTGTATAATTTCTTACACAGGAAACCAAAAAAAAAAAAAAACAAAAAAAAAAAGGAAGAAAGAAAAACTCTTTATATTTTTCAGTACATTCCAAACATAGTCATTAATCTAGTCTTAGGTGACACCTAAATCAAATTGTTTACATTTGTAAAAATACAATAAATCCATTTTAAAAGAAAGGCATTTTATTTACCTTTAGTTGAGAAAAAAGTACAGATACTCTTTAGTGAGGAAAAAAATGATGTTTAAAATCCCTTTTCTGTGTTCTTTTTGAAAGCAATTATTATTTTTTGGTTTCTAGACCTGCATTACTTCTATAAACGAAAGCATGCTCCTTTCAAGTACTATACAAAGAAATTAGGAACTTTTTCTGAATAGGAGGGGCCTGGAGCCCTTCTTATCATTTGTTTTGTGAAGGGAGAGGTATCTAAAACAGAGGTAGCAGAAGCAAGGGGTGAATGTCGAAAACAGCATTAAGAAAATACTTTCAAAATTGGAACTCCAGGTATTAGGGACAGAGCATGGATATACTACCTCCTTGCTTATTCAATTCAATTGAAAATAGCATTATTTCTAAATATCAATAACAACAATGTATGTGGAAGTTTTATTACAATTTAAAGGTAACTTTAGTTATTTGACACACAAACTTACATGAATTACATGATTCACAGAATTCTTATCATCAGTGCCAACAAACAAATTAATAAGGACTTTTTTCCCATATTTAGAATTCAGTTGTGCAATAGCTTTTTCAGCTGTCCAAGAAGCACCTAAAGCAATAAAAGATAAAATATATCTTTAGAAGCTTTAGTTCACTAATGATATTATAACATAGATTTTACATGGAAATTTCTTTTTTAGTAGGAAAATTGCCTTACCATATTTTTGCTCCCAGTTTTCTGTTGCTACTGGCCACCCATATATGTCTGGTAACAGTTTGAGTAGAGGTTCTCCACCTCTGCTATCAATAGCAGCTTTTGGAAACAACAAACATAAATTCAATTAGAAATCTAGGCATAGTTTGGCACCAATATATATATATATATACTCCTAATGAAATCAAATGAAGAGCACTTACATTCATTTATACAAGACCTGTACAATGCTTTTGCTTTCTGCACTGCTACTATATCTTCAGTTTTGGGTTCTTGAAGGACATCTGAAATAGGACATTTAATAAAATGCATCAACATAATTGCTCATTTGCACTATGCAAACATAATTGCTCATTTGCAGTAATTAACATTTGCAAAGTGGGTTCAGTTAAAAAAAAACCTTGCTTTTCTGGAGGTACATTCATTTCCTCCCCCCAGTTCCAAAACATTATAGGAAAAACCAAACCCCTTACCAGATTATCATTCCTAGCACAGAACTGGGAGTCAGTTTAATCAGCCAATTTAGATGAAAGTCCTTTTGACTAGATTATCTTTTTTTTTTTTTTATGAACAGTGATGCATACGGCTCTGCCATAGGTAACAGTTACTTTTCTTGAAATTGAGATTAAAAAAAAACAATAACACAGAGGAATTTGGAATTTAGTATGAATAGTCTTTTTGATGGCTGGAAAATAATTATCTTTGTGTGACTGTACCGTTCATGCTCCAAATGAATGAATTGAATTGTCCTACTTGTTTCAATGTTAAAAAGTAGCAAAAATTGTTCTTCTACAAAATAACTTCTAGAAGAGGGGAGAACAGAGAACAAAGGATAGGAGGGACTTGGCTAGATTTCTTAACTTCTCAGGGAGACAGTCTTAGCCAGGTTAGAATATACCTGTGCTGGGAAGGCAAATCTTAGTAACATCTTACAGTAACTTTAACACAGGGTTTGGGTAGGGAGACTACAGAAGTAGGTTTCTGTGCCAATCATTTAATTTTTTTTCTTCTGTAAAATGGCATAAAACTACCATCTTGGCTGGGCATAGTGGCTCACACCTGTAATCCCAGCACTTTGGGAGGCCAAGGCTGGTGGATCACCTGAGGTCAGTTCAAGACCAGCTTGGCCAACATGGTGAAACCCCGTCCCTACTAAAAATACAAAAATTAGCTGGGTGTAATGGCAGGTGCCTACAATCCCAGCTACTTGGGAGGCTGAGGCAGGAGAATTGCTTAAATCTGGGAGGCAGAAGTTGCAGTGAGCCGAGATAGCACCATTGCACTCCAGCCTGGGTGACAAGAGCAAAACTCCATCTCAAAAAACAAACAAACAAACAAACAAAAAACCAAACCTGCCATCTCTAGAGATGATACCGCTTTATTATTTGCATACCTACAAATGAAAGCAGGAATGCTAAGAGATGTCAACACATTAATTTCAGTGTCTGCCACTATCAGAGTGACTTGGTGGTGGTACACAAATCCTGGAAGGATTATTAACTTTTTAATCTTCTGTGACATTCCTTGTAATGGCTAACAATTGTATATTTAAAAAATGAACATATTAAGAGAGAAATCTTTGATGCACAGACACAATCTCTACTAACCTTTCAAAACGACTTCTAGTTCATCTCTTAAAATGTCAAAGTTGCCGTAACGGGAGCTGGTCTCGGGAATGACATTACGTTTCAACCAGCCTCCGCAAGCATATTTGAAAAAGTCTGTACAAGGCTCAGTGGTGGCATCCATGTTTTGGATCAGTCGAGCAGCTGCAAGAGCAGAGAAAACACTAGATAAAATGATGGGTTTATTTCTTAAGAGGCTTAAAAGGAGAAAAAGGCTTATTGCTCCCTTTTGATTGCATCAATTTGTCGGATGCTCCGTTTTCTTTTTTATATAAGTCAATTCAGGGGGATGAGGAATACTATCTGTGTATAGTTCTCTTTTCCTTCACTATAGTTGGTTCGTTTTATTTTGAACTGTGTGGGTCCTTCCACCCTGGGTCCCACAGCCTTCCCACCCCACCCCTGAATAACTAAGTTTCTGGCTAGTTCCTATCTCAGAAGAACAAAGAATAGAGGTCTACTTTGAGTTGGCCATCCTGCACCTGAGGTTAGCATGCCATTCTTCACTCTGATAACTTTAGTTGCCAACTCTGCTCTTCAAAGTGCTGTGACTTTTGAAAGTCTCTGAGACTCCAAGCCATGGAAGATTGTTAATGAATTTTTATCATTTTAGAAAAGATCTGAAGACACTGTTATTACTTCCTGGACCTTGCTCAAATAAATTTTGTAATTCAAATTTGACATCCAATTTGCATTTGTTTATATAGAGTCTGTCATTATAAAACTGGCTGTAAGCTTATTAGTTTTTCTTAGGTCCACTTTTATCTTTCAGGACTATGATGAAAATGCAAATCAACCAACACTGAGTATTTACAATCAAGACGTTGACTCTGGTAGGAGCTGCAATTGATAGAAAGATGTATAAAATAGGAATTATTACCAACGAAGAGGAGAATATGGCCCAATACCCATAATGTCTATACCCGGAACAGAGAAAATTCTGCTCCTGCCCTCCCCACTTTGAGTCTCATACAAGTTGAACTGTTTTGCAATGAAAACAAAAGAGCAATTGAGAATTCATCTGTATCAAGAGAATATAAGCTCTCAGATGAGCTTTTGAAAATACTTCACTTTATGAATTAATTAATTAATTAAAAACTTCAAACAATTGCTGAGCTGTGTGGATTTTTTAAACTTGGTATGGTAAACATGGTTTCCAGCTGAGCCTCAAGCCCCCCCATTGAACCACTTTTTTGGCATGTTTGCTTGTCTGGAACCTCAGGACCCAGCTCTTTAAAACAAAACGCTCAGGACTGTTACCAAACCAGTCATCTCATGAGTTGTATGCCTTAGTATACAGCACAGTTGCTATCATAGCCTCCTGGATTTGAAACTTTGGGTAAAACTGTATTTCTATTTCCCCTTGGTTTACTGGTAATTCCTTTGCCCCTCTTCCATACCTCTCATTCTGATTGGTACCTGGTTTATATCATCATTCCTTTTTGACTAGAAGTCACCCAGTTCTTCATCTTGATATATTCTACACATCTTCCACAAACCAAACTTCCCGAAAGACTCTTTGACACTGGCCACAACCTTGCTGAAAAATGTCAGTGGCTTGACATTTCCCAGGTTAAATTATAAAAGCTTGGCAGGGCACAGTGGCTCACGCCTGTAATTCCAGCACTTTGGGAGTCCAATACCAGCCTGGCCAACATGATGAAACACCAACTCTACTAAAAATACAAAAATTAGCTGCCCATGGTGGCAGGCACCTGTAGTCCCAGCTACTCAGGAGGCTAAAGCAGGAGAATAGCTTGAACTCGGGAGGTGGAGGTTGCAGTGAACCAAGACAGCGCCACTGCACTCCAGCCTGGGTGACAGAGAGAGACTATCTCAGAAATAAAAATAAAATCTTTAGCTTGGTGTCTAAACCTTTACCAGAATAAACGTATCACCCTACCTTCCCCTTTTCCTCTTTTGGTGGTTTATGCAAACTCTGTTCCAACCAGATGGCCCTCGTCAATGTGTCACAAACACTCCTTGTGTTTTCTTAGTCCTGTGTCTTTGCTTTAACCTCCTCATCCCACAGCTTTGATTGCCCCTGTCATTCTTTCCAAATTCTACCCATCATTCAACATTCAGCTCATGTTCCATCTCTTCCCTGATGCTTCTGTGACTCCAAACTTCAAGGAATATTTCTCTTGACTCCTGAGAGCTCATTGCCTCACTCTGTCTTCAATGTGAGACTACTTTGAGTTTTTCATTGTAAATACCTACTCTGTCTACCTAACCATTTTGTTGATGTGATTAATCTCTTTGTATCACCTAGCACCTAGGTAACAGGGGTGCAATTATGGTTATGTGTGACTGAATCATCTATGAGTCTTCTTACCACCTTCTCTTACAGCCCATCACTCACCTCCTCTCCCCTTGCCACAGAGGTCAGATCCGTTCTCAGTTCATTGCCTCCAGAGTCCATTCCATCTTTCCCATTGTTTCCATTCTGTCTCAAACCCTCTTTCTCTCAGACTCTATTTGTGCCCTTTTGACAAAGTTGTGGCCCCAGGCCTCTTCTTACCTATGTCCATTCTGTACTCCACAGGCAGATTCATATTCTCAAAATACTTCAGAATGTCATTTTCCACTCCAAAGTTTTCAATACCATCCTTTTGCAATCATAATAAAATCCAGATTCCATAGCACATTCTAACACTAATAGAACGAATGAAGCTTCTCCTTTGCTACTTTCTCGCATGAGCCATCTGTCACAGTTAAATGAGTATATTCAGTTTCTGTGAGACACCTTATGGTTTTCTGCCTCTGTAACTTTGAGCATGTTACCCAGCCCCTATACGTACTAATAAATATTATTTCATATTATTTCATTTTGGAATTTCAGGCATTTTCAAAGCCCATTCCAAATACTTCTTTATGAAAGACTGGCCTGACAAAAGTCTGTATCAGCTCACAACATATTCATTTTTCGCATGCAAATTCATTATCTCCTCACCTGGACTGTGGCTCTGTGAAAATAGAAAATGCATATTCTCTCTCACAGAGCCTAACACTGTGCTCAGTCAAGACTTGCCAGTAAAAACTCCAACTTTAACACCTCAGTTAAAGACTAGGAAACTGATCTAAAAAAGGTAGAGAGAAAAAGCAATTCCCTCGAATTTTGAAGGAAATAAAAATATGGTAACGGGAAAGGTGAAAAATAAAGATCCTAAATACATAGAGGATTATTATGTAAAGTGAAAAACCAGAAAACTAGAGCCTGAAAGAAGTGCTAACTACAGACATTCTAAGAACACACTTAGCAATATATAACTCTTCTCTTTTAAGATACTTAAAAACATTTAAACTGAATGTTGTGAAGGCTATGCCATTTGGAGGGGGCACTTCTGTTTTCTTCCTCTTTCTGGGGAAATGAAAGCTTCTGTCACGACATCACAGAGCAATGAACTCTACTCAGAAAAGTAGTGAACAATTAATGAACAAGCAGAATGAACAAGCAGAGCATGAACAAGCCCTACTGCCTATTTGGAAATACCACCGGTCCTTAAACACTCTGAATAAAAAGGATGGCTGGAAGTTTCAGTTCTCTGATCATGAGTGCAAATTCTCCATCCTGTAAAAGCAACTGTACTTCCCACATCTCCCAGGGGGCAAAAAGTACAGTTAAATTACTTGCATCTGCACAACAAACCAAAGAAATAACATTCAGTTTGTGAGGGATGTGCAGAGCAGAGAGAGGAAGAGGCAACTTTGCTAACTCCTTCCAGGGCCACTCTTTAAAATTTCCCTTTGACCACCGAGCTTGTCTGAGCATGGATGCATCCAATCACTTCAAAGAGCGCTCTCTGTTCTGATGAATATTTTGGGGCCATGGGCCAAGGCAAGTCACGGGCTAGCACTTTTATGCTGGGTCTTTGATCAACCTTCCTTTAATCTCTTATCGTGGGTTTGATTCTCGTTTTGCACCTTATCCTCTGGACCTCCTCTGTGCTGACTTTTCTTTGAAGTCAGCGGTAGACTTGTGGGTAGAAGGCCGTAGGAAACAGACGTACAACTGTCAAACTGGTCGTAATTGTTTTTATGTTTTGTACTTTGTTTTGAATTACTCAACCTCTCCACATAGCCACACCTGGGCTCTTCAGATGTTTCCTTATCTGTGGATCTCTGACATCTGAGTAAACAAATGTGGTTTAAAATCAGACTAAATTGTTCACCTTAATAAGCAGATATAAAAAATAATGTAGTAAAGGCAAATGTATTGACATGGAATGTTGTTGACCAGATATTGTAAAGTGAAAGAGCATATACTATGATTTTTTAAAATCTGTATAAAAGCACAGAAAATCTAGAAGGATATATACTAACATATTTACAGCAGTTAGATCTGGGCGGAGGGATTAAGAGTGTGTTTAATTTTGTATTATTTGCTTACCTTTATTTTCCAATTTGTATTAGATGAACATGCATTACTTTTGCAGTAAGGGAAAAAAGTTATTTTTAATTTAAGAAAATGGTCACACAAAGACAAGAGAAGTAATCTTCTATTAATAATGAGCTTATTTCTTACAAATGACAATTCTGAATGTTTCGAGCTGATAATAAATGACACCATTTTCTTTCTAACTAATCTTCTTGTAACATTCTCCCAACTTATTTGACTATAGGAATTTAAAAGCAAGTTCAACTACCATCTGGGAAGTTATTAATTACTGTATTCCTCACTGAAAAGTCTATTGTGTGTGTATGGATTGGGAGATGTAGTATACGCTGGGAAAAACGTTTGGGCTCTTTTAACCCAGACAGACCAGTTCTGAATCCCAGAGCTCCACCACTTTTTAGCTGTACAAGATTAAGTAATTTTTCCAAGATCAAGCAGCTAGTAAATTATGGGGCCCCAAGGCTTGCACTTAAGCATGTATGGCTCTGAGCCCACACTCTTCCCTCCCTGCTTTGAATGCAGAAGGCTGGTGGGGAGCACGTGAGAAGCAGCACCTTGCAGGGCCCTCCTTTCCAGTCCTTTTCAAGTACCCTTTTACTCTTCCTTTGTCCTGTCTTCTCCTTTACTTACTCTCTTTCCTGCCACTCTGCAGCCACAGCCTCTCCACTGTCGGACTTATCACCAACAATTCTTGTTGGGACAAAGGCAGGACAATGTACAGCTTGAGGACTTGGAGAGTCCGCGGATGAATTTTTTATAGTGGAGTAACCAGACAGGGAAGTGGCATGGAGGCCACGCTAGGTGGATGCACTCAAAGGCCCATGCAGGGGTGCATCTTTTTGAAGTGGCCATGTAGCAGGGTTCCTGCCTAAGCTATCTTTGGAGCACATTGGAAAATGGAGTGTGAAAAATCTCAGAAATATGTTTTAGGACAGTACTTGTCAACCCTGGCTAAACATGTGAATCATCTGAGAAGCCTTTTAGACACACGGATGCCCAGAATTCTACTCCTGATCAATTCAGTCAGAATCTTTGGAGGGGGTCCAGACATTTTTTTAAGGTTTTCTAGAGTGGGTCTAATGTGCAGTCAGGGGGAACCACCACATTAGACAATCGAGAAACATAGAAATGAGGACCAACAGATCCAATATCAAAAAAGTATAGTCCCATACTTACTTGAATCAGGAATATTTCCTTTTGCCTTTTCAGTCTGCAAATGCAAATGGGCTTACATCATGGCAACCTATGTTTTGCAGTGACTTCAGTCCCTTATAATTGGCTGGTAAAGTGTTGCACGGAACCTCACATGTGTCTCATGCATAAGCCCACGACCCCAAGGCTTCCACTCTGCTCCACTGACTTTAGCCTCCACAGCCTCCTACCCAGACACCACCCATGATCCAGTTCCCGCTGGGTGCTGAAGCTGGATGATGCAGGGAAAATACCTCCCTTCCTCATCTTTCATTGTCTCAAGTCTTGAGGAGGGCTCTTGTGCCTATAGGTAAACAGGTCTCTTGAATTTCACCCCCCATGGCCTCCTCTCTCAAGAACCACAAGCACCAACAGGCCTGGTTTTGGAGTGATTATAATAGCAAAAACTATACTATATTCAAAATCACTTCTCTCTTCTGATGGCCAAGAAACATTTTTGTTGATATCTCATGAGGCTCATAGGCCTCTCAGAAGAAACTTGAGGCACAGCATTCCATTGGTCTGCTAGACACGATTAGACATGGTGAAATTCCAGTTACACGGGACCCCCACTACATGTCTCCCTTAAGAAGACGCAACCTTAAGTCTGCCTTTGAATGGCCTCCAAGCCACAAGATCTCCCCTTTCTTATCTGGATGCCTTGCTTTCCAACATTACCAATAGTTTGCTAACTGAAAATAGGATTTTGGGCACTATACACAACAACTATCTTAATATTTATATATGTGCATTCCCTGGAGGCTTGTTTTCTGGTGGAGGGGGGAGGGTTTAAAGGAATTTCTACATTTTCAAGTGCTCCTGGGTACTTGTCAATAAAACAGGGTAAAGTTGACATAAATATGATAGTCACAAACAGCAAATGAACAAAATAGATAGCATAAAGTTTTGTGCTGTAGTACTATTATATGGGTTTAATTTGTTTTTTTTTTTTTTGAGATGAAGTCTCACTCTTGTCCCCCAGGCTGCAGTGCAATGGCGCGATATCTGCTCACTGCAACCTCTGCCTCCCGGGTTCAAGCGATTCTCCTGCCTCAGCCTCCCAAGTAGCTGGGATTACAGGCACCCGCCACCATGCTTGGCTAATTTTTGTGTTTTCAGTAGAGACGGGGTTTCCCCATGTTGGCCAGGCTGATCTCGAACTCCTGACCTCAGGTAATCCACCCGCCTCGGCCTCCCAAAGTGCTGGGATTACAGGCAAGAGCCACCACACCCGGCCCAGTTTAATTTTTTTAATGTTCATCATTACTTAGCAGGTCTTTGATGGTTTCCCATATGAATTATTTCACAGGAATTAAAAAACAAGTGTGGTTTATTCTAGTTATTTATATGAGTTTTGTTCTATATAAAGTCCCTACTACACTGAATTAGTGAATACTGAATCATTGACCCTAGGGGAAATACAAGGTTAGGTTCCTGTGGGCTTCTGGACACACAGATGATTAATACATAGCCTTGTTTTATGTGTGTTTCTGTTTAAAGACACCTTATTTAATATATTTTGTTGATGCACTAACATTTAACTCACACCAACAGCACTATAACTGATGCCTGAACGATGTTTATCCATTGCTCATATTTTCTCTGTAAGGCATATCACAGCCTTCTTGTGCTTCAAAACACTACATAGCACTTCCACACTATGGTTGTGGAGCATTTTAACAGTGAAATCATCATTAAAAAGCACAAAAATGCAAAAAACGTTGACTAAATGGACTACAAAAAGGATCCTTGTCTATAGTTCCCTTGTTCAATCTCAGCTGAGTACATGTGTGTAGAAAGACTCAAAGTTTTTTCACCAGTCTGTGCATGTCTGTAAATGACTGTGAGAGAGCTGCAAATAGTGATTTGGGGGTAATAAATACATTTTAGGGAGTAGGTGAATTAGCAAACAGAGAATCCACAAATAATGAGTAATGACTGTGCTTATATTCCTCTTTTCTTTGGGTCTTTTTGAAGCATCTAGAAAAATGTACAAAACAGGAAAGAAAATTAAGTGGGAAAAAGATACAAACCATTTCTTTCTCAATTACTACTCTATTTTAAAAACTCTTGGTCACTATAAATTAGCCACGTTTTAAATAGGTTAGGCATCTATTTACAACATACATACCACATATATACCCCCAGTGCCATGACAAAATTCCTCCGTTGACTATTCCTTTTTTTTTTTTTTTTTTGAGACAGAGTCTCATTCTGTTGCCTAGGCTGGAGTGCAATGGCACGATCTCGGCTCACTGCAACCTCCACCTCCCAGGTTCAAGCAATTCTCCTGCCTCAGCCTCCCAAGTAGCTGGGATTACAGGCACCCACTGCCACGCCAGGCTAATTTTTGTATTTTAGTAGAGACGGGGTTTCACCATGTTGGCCAGGCTGGTCTCAAACTCCTGACCTCGTGATCCACCCGCCTCAGTCTCCCAAAGTGCTGGGATTATAGGCATGAGCCACCACGCCCGGTCCCTCCATTGACTATTCTTAATCTGCACTGAATTAATGTTTAGGGAATGGTATATGAACAAAGCTGTTTTCAGCTTGTTGTCTTCAAATTGCCTAAGCTCTCAGCTTCCTAACCCCAAACACACAACACCAGTATCCTAACATCATTATAATTAGCCTGATTTATAACTGTTCTAGAATTGTCCAACAGAGGTCAGAGAAATGTTGGGGAACCCAGGAGCAAATGCTCTTTTGTAAAGACCTTAGGACACCCATTTCTGACCGAACCTTCTGTTGTAAATCCTTGCTTTATTAGCAGACACTAAGCTTGATATTACTTCTAGGCAATTTTTGACAATTTAAAAATCTCTTTTGACAACATTCTAAAAGTACAAGTGACCCTATTCCCTTGCTGCCACCCTCCTCCCACCATCCCCCCAACCACAATTCAGAGAAAGTCAGAACTTTTTAAAAGAACACAAGGAAAATGCAATGTAATCACAACGGGTCACAAAGGATTCAATTCAAAAGGCAGCAATGTGAAAACTGGAATCTGGGGAACCATTTTTGAAGAGAAAATGACTGAAAACTAGCAAGCACGTAGACTCTAATGCTAATAAAAACCAAATGGCTTTCATTACAAACACTCAGGATGCTTCCACAATCCACTCTCCATTTTTAAATGAAAATGCCTGCCCCCAAATTGCTTTTGTGATGCCTTGGTTGAAGAAAGATGGAGAGTGGGGGATACCAGATGCTGAGTGTAAACTGGACTGCTAGTTTATCATTTAACTCAAACACTCCCTGTCAACCACTGGTTACGTTCCAAGAAAGCCAAGGTCATGACTTATACTTGTCTAATTGGTGAGTACCATGAAACCATCACTATACAACTGTTCAGAAACTAGCTGCAGACTTACACAAATAGATATGAAAGAAGTTTCCAAGCATAGTGAATTTACTCTGTACAGCTGTACTCTTAAGTAAGGAGACCTATTTTTGCTGTTCTAGTTTGGGGAGTAATTAGTTTATAACTATATTTCATATATACATGTGACTAATTTATCTTAAATCCATAGGTCTTATACATACAACAAATATGCATACACACACGTAGGCACAAGCATATGAATAATCAACCTAGAATCCATTTGCTATCAGATAAATTCACTATCAGATTTAAATATACAATGTAAATTATAGGATTTTCATTTAGGTTTAGCCAAAGACGCTTAAATGTAATAATAATAATAACAATAGAAGCCAACACTTGACATATGTCAAACGCCAAGTGCCAACTTCATGATGGCTGTTTTTTAAATGCTTTCTTTAATGTTTGTTTTCTTTTAACCTTGTATGGTAACTATATTTGTGTCCCCATTTTCCAAATATAGAAATTGACGGTAAGTGATTTGTGCCCAAGTTCACATAGTTGGCAAAGGATAATGCAGTGGGTTTGAACTCAAGAAACCTGGTGGCCAGCGTCTGGGATCTTATACTATGTGAAACTGCCTTGGGTTCTAATCATTTTTCTTCCTTAGAACTGCTTTATAAAGTAGGACATATTACTCCTATTTTAAGAAAATCTAGGTATGGGGTGGTTACAAACTCAACGTCACCAATGTAAATTTAAGGAATTCAACTAAAGCTGAGCCTAGGTCTAATTTTAAGCTGATGCTTTTTCCACAGTATCATTCTGCCTTAACTCCAAATGACATTTAAAAATTTTCAGAAACTCTACAGAGAGGCAGAGGAACCCAAATTAAGTTATAGAGCAACCACTGCTTTTCTTGACACCCAATTAAAATATTAATTGCTCTATAACATGTATATAGTCATATAAAATTTTTCCACCTCATTTGGACCTGGATTTTAGAACTCATTGAGATAATCACAGAAATCTCATGTCTAATGGATTCACAATAATAAACTTCAGTTGGCACTCCCGAAATTAGTGAAATTCTTCAGTCTTATCTCATAGTCCATTTCAATGAATGGCTCACAGCCAAGGGAGGACTGGCAATTATTTTCCAGTAGGGATTCCTCCAGAATTCGCAACCGAAACATATTCTATTAATAATAATAATAATAAAAAGTATTCTAACTGTGTTACAGTTAAGTTAAAGTGCCATAAGTCTAAAAATAATTTTTCTTTTTCAGGTGCAATTTGCATTTTGAATCCTGAAAGACTCTGCTGGCAAAAAGCTATTAGGGATTATACTGTAATTTAAATACAATATATCACTTAAAATGAGTTATCAGATCTGCTGTTGATTGTAATGTTAGCAAATGATGATAATGTTCCTTTTTTAAACTAAAGCTATAGAAGGTCATGAAAAGGCTACATTGTTCCCTTAGTAACACTCTTCAGGTAGATCCCAAGTTCCCTGGACCCTGGCAGACATCTCTGAAGAGGGAGCAATGGGGGTCCACACCCATGTTCCTTCTGTTTAAACATTGTGTTATTTTGGATCATATTGTCTGTCAAGAATAACCAGCTGACTTCAATAATATGTGATTACTGAGAGTAACTCAAAGCATCCTGCCTTTGCATCAATTTTGGTTAGGGAGTGGTACAAAAAGACAACAGCCAGAGGAAAGCTGAGTCGACAGTGCTTCTCGAATGCTGCCTAAAATGAAATCAAATTCTAAAAAGGCTCTTTTCTAGAGAGCACTAATAAATTTAGTAACTATTAATAAACCAAACATTTGATTGGCACAAGGCAGTATTTGGCTCCATATGTTTATATTTTTTACGGATTAAATAGCTATTTTCTGTCATAGAAGATCCAGAAGATTATGTTAAATCATTGGCTTTCTCCAAAAGATTTTCTTCTTGTGAAGCATGAAAAGACTGAAACTTTTCATTTAATTTCAACAAATATTGACGGCCTCTATATACCCGACACTCTTAGGAACTGAACATACCATGGTGTGATAAACAGACATAATCCCTGCCCTCACAGAGCTTGCAGGGTTTCATCTTAAACAAGACCATTTCTTTTATAATGCACGTGAACTCCTAGATGGTAACTATATCTAGATATGAAAGGTTGTTTTGTGATGCTCAGGTCTCATTTTCAATTCTCAAACTTACTCAGTGTTCAGTTGACAAGTAAAGCTCCTACTGTATTCAGTTGATAAGTAAAGCTCCTCCTAACCTAGAGGTAAGGAGTCTCTTGTAATGTCCTTCCATAAGTGAGTTTATGCATGTATGCGTGAGCTGGCTAGGAATTTGAATTTGTGTGTTATGAATGAAGTGAGCAGGGACAGAGGAGTTTTAGAGGATGGTGGTTGTTGAAGAACAGCAACACTTAGCTAAATAATGGTGTTCAAGAGAAGAAGAACACAGAGTGTTAAAAGAGAGAAGAAATAAATTATTGAGAAGGGAGGAATTCAGAACAAACCACAGTTGGAAAAGAAAAACCAGACTGATAGAGACTTTGCTCCTAGAGAGCTGGAAATGCTTACACCCAAGTAGAAAATTAGTTGAAATTTTCCCTTAAACAGAAAAATAGTGGGAAATAGAAACACATCCGGAAACTGTTTCCTCATTAACCTAGTTCTAGCTTAGGAGGGTAGAATTAGCAAGGTGAATTAGACAACTGAGAAGAGCGTAATTGACTTTATTGCTAGCAAAGAAGATGGATCAGATAGAAAGGGGCTAAACCTAGGAGGCTTGATACAGAAATACTGAACTGAGAAATCTGACATAAGCAGGACCTAGCTAGACTGAAAACGTTTCCTTGAGGCAGCTATATTTGTGTATTAGGTATGCTTACAAGTCACCTTGCATAGGCATCAATAGTTTTGTGACTTCAAGGTAAGGAACCTGAGAGTATATTTATTCAATCAATATTTATTGGTAACTTACACATTGCTGGGTGCTAGAAATAGAATAATGAATAAAATAGAAACAGTCAAAACTTACATTTTAGTGGACAAAAACCAGACATTGAACAACTAATAACAAGTGGGATATGAGTTATAGGTAAAGCGTATAGGATGCTCTGGGAATGAAGGGGGAGCTACCAGTTGAAGGTAGAGGAGAGAGGGCAATTCATTCATTCCGTTGGCCATTCAACAAATATTTGAGTCAGGTTCTGAGCTGTGTCCCAGGCAGTGAAAGTAGGTGACGTTTTTGACAAAAGAGGCAACCGAAAGAGGACTGACATGCAGAGTGACTCTCTGCCGGTGTGGACAGGTAGGCTACCCTCTGAAGAAGGGATAAAGGAGGAAGAGGTAGCTCTCAAGGTTTCGGCATGCTGGGAGCCCTGCCTGTTGTTGACTGGTGGGAGCAGAGGCCTGGTCTTTGTCACCCTGCCCAGTGAAGGGGAGGGAAATGATCATGGGAAAGAGACCTCATTCTTGCTGAGGTAGCAAGAAACAGCAGCCTTGCCCTAGAAGCCCTCATCATGGGCATCTCATGAGAACAGCTTTACTTTTATTACAAGCTGTCTTTATGGTTCTGGCTGGTCGCAAAGTTCTAAATCATCTTGTTAACACATGCCCTGCCAAGTTGACTTATGCTTTCTCAAGCCCAAGTGAGAGCAAGTTCTTTCCATGAATCCAGGAAGGGCTCTTGTGGACTGCAAAATGGATGACCATGTGGTTAGGTGAGGGGATGAAGCCTCAGATCAACAGTGCAATGAGTTATCAGATCGGTATGATATGCACAATTTTTGAGAAATGACTCAAAGGGTATTTCAAGGTAATCCATAGAATACAAAAGCAATAATTTTAAGTATACCCCCACCCAGGGAAAGGATTCTAATTCCTACGCCTAGCACAATGACTAGCCCATAATGGACACTCCAAAAGGATCCTTCATTCTCAATTAATTACACCTTCTTATAGTAAATCATCACCATCTGCTATTTGTAAACTAAAACCTGCATATGCACTGTATCGGAATCTTAAAACATTCTGATACTAGCTTCTTTTTCCTGTTACTATCCCTGAATAAAAAATGACTTTTATTGCTCATTTTAAAGTCATGTAGGCAGGATCTAAAATTTTTTTAACTTTTAATATATAATTAGATTTCCTTTTACTAAATAAACAAAACAAAAGACCAATTCCCCCCTCCTAATAGGTGTGATGGCTGATAGGTGAAGGACAAGCAGGATCCTTCGCTGTCTGTGTTGGCATACAAAATCAGTGAAGGTGCTCCTTCCTCAGTAAATGAAGAAACATTTTTTTTCCATGTAAAACATTCATCATTCACATAAACTGGGCTCTGGTAGAAGTGGTTTGACTAGCCCAGTGAGACTGAATCCCGGTTTAGTTAAACTATAAAGGACCATCAACAGAAGAAGTTCTCAGCTACAAGCAACAGAAATAAGTCACACAGGGAGGGCACCCACGGCAGCTGTGAGGAGGGAGCTATAACCAGCAGATGGTGTGTGTTGATCCAAGGAAACTTCAGTTCTCCGTGGTCTGGCAAAAGGTCATGAGGTTAAGAGCTAAGCTAGATTTCAGTCCCAGAAGACAGAAAAGAAAAAAAGAAACTCATTTTCCAGAAGTGGGGAATGAGCCAGGAGTGAAATCCCTATGGGAGAAGGCAGAAACCCATTTACTAGAGCTGGGGTCAGAGGCAGATCACCAAGAGTAGGGCTGACTGGAAGTGGAATGTTTGAGCTACTGACCTTGGCCCCAGTGAGTGCCTGGGCCTGGAATGGGACTGATCCTACAGCTGGAGTTCCATATGGTACTCAACCAATTTGTCAACTTTTCAAAGCTTCCCACTTCTTTGTTTTCACTTTATTACCATAGTTGATATGCACCATGCAAAATGTATTAGGCTGTTCTTGCAATGCCATAAAGAAATGCCTGAGACTGAGTAATTTATAAAGAAAAGAGGTTTAATTGGCTCATGGCTCTGCAGGCTGTACAGGAAGCATAACACCAGCATCTGCTTTTTGGGAGGCCTCAGGGAGCTTTTACTTATGAGAGAACGTGAAGGAGGAGCAGGCATCTCACGTGGCAAGAACGGGAGGAAGAGAGTGGGTGGGGGGGTTCCACACACTTATAAGCAACCAGATCTCATGAAAACTCACTCACTATTGCAAAGACAGGGCCAAGTCATTAGGGATCTGCCCCCATGATCCAAATACCTCCCACCAGGCCCCACCTCCAACACTGAGGATTAATTCAACATGAGATTTGGGCGAGGACAAATATCCAAGCTACATCAAAAAGTTTCATAGCACCAATTGCTACTAAGTTATTTATTTATTTATTGAAGATGGGGTCTTGCCACATTGCCCAGGCTAATCTCCAACTCCTGGGCTCAAGTGATCCTGCTGCCTCAGCCTCCTGAGTAGCTGGACTACAGGTGTGTGCCACAGCACTCAGCTCTACTATTTTATAGTAGCTATTAAAATATTCATATTTGCATGATATGAGTTTCTTTAAGGTGACTTTCAAGGTTTCATGTGCATCATTTCTTCTCAACATATTGTCAGATCCTTGCTAGACTATTATCTACAGTGCTTTGAGTAATTCATAGTTGAGTTAATGATTGTGGGTACACTGCATCACAATACTATTTGTATATTTGATTCACTCAAACATTATTAAAATTATTTCTCTGAGGAATCACCACACTGTCTTCCACAATGGCTGAACTAGTTTACACTCCCACCAACAGTGTAAAAGTGTTCCTATTTCTCCACATCCTCTCCAGCACCTGTTGTTTCTTGACTTTTTAATGATCGCCATTCTAACTGGTGTGAGATGATATCTCATTGTGGTTTTGATTTGCATTTCTCTGATGGCCAGTGATGATGAGCATTTTTTCATGTGTCTGTCGGATGCATAAATGTCTTCTTTTGAGAAGTGTCTGTTCATATCCTTTGCCCACTTTTTGATGGGGTTGCTTGTTTTTTTCTTGTAAATTTGTTGGAGTTCTTTGTAGATTCTGAATACTAGCCCTTTGTCAGATGAGTAAATTGCAAAACTTTTCTCCCATTCTGTAGGTTGCCTGTTCACTCTGATGGTAGTTTCTTTTGCTGCGCAGAAGCTCTTTAGTTTAATTAGATCCCATTTGTCAATTTTGGCTTTTGTGGCCATTGCTTTTGGTGTTTTAGACATGAAGTCCTTGCCCATGCCTATGTCCTGAATGGTATTGCCTCGGTTTTCTTGAACTAGAAATACCATTTGACCCAGCCATCCCATTACTGGGTATATACCCAAAGGAATATAAATCATGCTGCTATAAAGACACATGCACATGTATGTTTATTGCAGCACTACTCACAATAGCAAAGACTTGGAACCAACCCAAATGTCCAACAATGATAGACTGGATTAAGAAAATGTGGCACATATACACCATGGAATACTATGCAGCCATAAAAAGGATGAGTTCATGTCCTTTGTAGGGACATGGATGAAGCTGGAAACCATCATTCTCGGCAAACTATCGCAAGGACACACTCCTTGAGTCAAGCAGTTTCTTTTTTATGAAGCTGTGTTGTCAGGAGCTCCACCATTTAATACTTGGCTTGCTTGTTTTTACTTAAGCATCAAGAACAGAGAAACAAATCCGCTGCTGGCTATTGGGTACCTGCTCAATTACTTCAATTTAACTTCGCAATCATCTAGTCTAGTCTACACAGTGGACCAACTCCCTTTTCATTAGCTTCACGGTGAAGGCACTGTAGTTGGACTCCTCTGGATTGAAGAAATGTAAGATTAAAGGAAGATTATACCGCTGAGAAATGTTTAAACAGAACATATTGTTTTAAGATAAGAACTCATTGATTCATTTTGAGTTTTTATCTAGGATAGTGAAAAGATAAAAATGAGTAAAAATGAATTCATTTGTAATTGTATCAAATGGAATCCCACACTATATGCCAGACAGGTGGCCCTCCAGCACCTCTTCTTATTAGTTGCTGCTTACCCTTTTGAGTGATAATTACATATGACAACACGTGTACTGAAAATACTAATCCATATGAACTAATCCCATCAGGTGGCATATCCCTCCACCTTGCCCCAACATGGAAAAGCAAAACTAGTTTTCTGTTATCACTTGGTGCAATAGCCAAATCCTTACTGTCCACTCTGCTTATTTAAGCTTCTGCCAGTCAACCATCCCCGCCTCACCTACTTTATCTCTGTCTTCTACTGACTCCAGAGGCATTCATCTCTGCTTGTTTAAGACTCTGGCACTTTGTGCAGTCTGCCCTTCCACATAAGTTCTACCATCTTGATATGTAACATCAGAGACCCTGTGGACAACCTCTGCTACACTCTAGCTTAAGAATTTCTTGACCATCTGAACTCTCCTAACTTTCACCTTCACTTCACATTAGTCTACACATTTTCATGACGACATCTTAATGTTCTCATCACCCAGAACAGTTGTACCTCTGAAATCTTCATCTCGAGTAACCCCCCTCTCCAATAAGAATCTTCTGATTCTTAGAAGTGTTTTTTGTTTGTTTGTTTGTTTCATTTCTTTATTCCCTCTACACCTGTTCCTCGACTTCACTGAAAACTCTCACCCCATGGCCACTCTTTTTTTTTTTTGAGACAGAATCTCACTCTGCCGCCCAGGCCGGAGTGCAGTGGTGCGATCTTGGCTCATTGCAACCTCCACCTCCTGGGTTCAAGTGATACTCCTGCCTCAGCCTCCCGAGTAGCTGGGACTACAGGCGGGCACCACCACGCCCAGCTAATTTTTTTGTATTTTTAGTAGAGATGGGGTTTCACCACGTTGGCCAGGATGGTCTTGATCTCCTGACCTGGTGATTCGCCTGCCTTGGCCTCCCAAAGTGCTGGGATTACAGCCGTGAGCCACTGCGCCCAGCCAGCCACTCTATTTTTTACTTTACTTTTCTTTTATATCTTCTGTCCAGTGTACATCCTGTGGTGCCATCCCTGAAACCATCATCTCACCAAAGTATTTCATTCCCTTGCCCCCTGCAAATGAGCCTACCCTGAATTGATCCAGCTGCCTTCCTTTTCCCTTCCAACTCTAGTCTATCTAATAATGTTTTTTTATATGTGTGTGTGTTTATTTACTGTCTCCTTTACTGCTGTAAGCTCCTGTAAGCAGGGACATTGTGTTGCTCACTCTGCGTTTAGGTGCTAAGTATCCTTAGCATCTAAAACAGTGCTGACAATATCTGTTGAAGCCATTATCGGTGATGCTGGAGAAACCCCACAACTGCCTGGTTTAATGCCATTTCAAGTTATAGCCTTCCATTTCAACAGAGCCATCAGTTCTGTGTGCATGGCCCACTCCTCACATGGACACTTTCCAGTCTTCATACTCTCCTTACTTACTTTCTCTACCAGCTCACTCCCAGGCGGAGATTTTTGTTTGTTACTTCACAAAGGCAACTGGATGATGACCCATTCAACTTCCTGTCCCTCCTAGCTTCCAAACATGTTTGCATTTCAGCCATCTTGGCTTCTTTCTCCCTAGTATTAAATAAAAGGGGGAGGAGGAGGCCATCCTTTATCTCGGAATCATCCTATATTCTTTTCTCTGGATATACATCCTCTTTTACTTCCTCTGGACAAAATCCATCAATTTTCCACCTGATCTTCACCTGAATCTTCAATGTCTTCCTTTCTGCTTTCAACATTTAGCCTACTCAACCTCTCAGCTGTGCTTAATTCCAATGATCACTCTCTAATTTTGGACAGCTGCTCCTCCATTTGCTTTGGTGATTTTACACTTCGCTGATTTTCCTTCTACCTCTCTGATTACTTCTCGGTTTCTTTTGGAGTTTCTTCCTCTTCTCATTTTTAAATGTTGCTTTATGTGATGCAATTCTGGGTTCTCTTCTCCATTTCCTCCCTAAGAAATCTCAACCATATCATCCACATGCTGATGACCCCCGAATCTTTATTTCCAACACCATCTTCCCTGAATTCTACCACATCGAATATGTACCAGTATCTCAAATTTAAACTATCTCACAGTGAACTCTTCACTGCATTGGTCCCAGCCTATTACCCAATAAGCTCTGCTTCAGTGCTCCCTAGCTTGGTGAACAGCTGACTTATCACCCAATTTACCAAGCCAGAAACTTGAGTTACCTTTTCCTCACTTCCTTTTCACAACCTCACCTATTTACAGAAACATTGTGCCTTATGAATTCTACTTCCCAGTAAATATTTCTCAAATCTGTCCATTTCTTAGCCTGGGCAACATGGTGAAACTCCATCTCTACAGAAAATTACAAAACTTAACGGGGTGTGGTGGTGCATGCCTGTAATCCCAGCTACTCAGGAGGCTGAGGTGGGAGGATCGCCTGAGTCTGGGGAAGTTGAGGCTACAGTGAGCTGTGATTGTGCCATTGAACTCCAGCCTGGGTGACAGAGTGAGACCCTGTCTCAAAACAAACAAACAAACAAACAACAGCAACAACAATAAAAACTGTTGCCATTCAAATCCAGGCAACCATAATACTCATCCAAATAAGTGCAGTAGCCCAATTTCCTGCCCACAGCCATTCTTTATTTCTATTCAGTGATCTTTCTCAATAATTCTGATAAAGTCATGCGTCATTTAAAACCCTTCCTTCTGTGACCTCCCACCGCTACTAGAAGGAAGTGCATTCACTTTAACACAGACTACAAAATCCAATTCCTGCTTATTTCTTTTGCCAATAGTGAACACTTCTCCTTGCCTCCACTCTCATATCTTCATACACACCCTCTATGATAGCCTTACAGATATTCTTTCAGTTTCTCAATATTGCCAAGCTCTCTCACACACCAGGGGCACCAAAATGTTATTCCTTTGTTTGGGTAAATCTTTGCCTCCACTTTACCAGGCTTGAGCTAGACAGCAGCCAATCTTGACAATGTCACACATCCCTATTTAAAATCCCTTAGATGTCCCCTGCGGCATTTTAATTTTATTCATTTTCTGTAGACTTCGGGAGATAATGCAACCCATTTATCATGGCATATAAGACCCTGTGTGACCTGGGCCCTGGTTACTTCTCTAGTATCAAGTCTTGCTAGCTTCTACATCCCAGCCATCATGAACCACTAGTAGGTCCTAAACTTCCTGAGCTCTTGCCTCCATCTTGCATACAGACTATGCACATGCTCTCCTCTGCTCCCACTGGTTGGGCAATTCAATTATCCTTCAGAACTTAGCTGGTGAAGTGCGACTGCTTTCCCGGCCTCATTGCTATCACTTTAGCTGCCCACTCCCAGACCCGCTCTGGTTTAGGTGCTCCTCTCTCAGGGCACCTGTAGCACACAAATCTTATCACCATCATAGCACTTATCAAACCATATGGTAATGTTGTTTATGTCTGTCACACTGACCAGGTTTTCATTTTCCTGACGGCAGGGGGTATTTTAGTTCATATTTCCAATGTCTAGTGTTCAATGTTTAGAAGCTGCTTGATTAATGCTTTTGTGGAAAAAAAAATGAATGCCAGGTATGGTGGCATGTGCCTGTTGTTCTAGCTGCTTGGGAGGCTGAGGCGTGTGGATTGCTTGAGCCCAAGAGGTTGAGGTCAACCTGGGCAACATAAGGAGACCCTGCCTCTAAAAAAAATAAAAAATAAAATTAATTAACTAATGAATAGATAAATCAATAAATGAATGAATGGAAGAGGCAAAAAGTTGTTCTAATGTCTCTACAGAAATAGCATGCCTGCATTACACTGGGGAAATTTAGGAAGATATTCCAGGTTCAGCTTGTCCACGATAAGCAGAAAATCAGGCTCAGTGTCTCTCCTCTCTGACTTAAAGTCTTCACTCCTCTCTAACTTAAAGTCTTCACTGAGCACACAGTCTGAAATTGAACCTGTTAAAGCAATCAGTTGGTCAATATGTACCTTCTTTTAAAAATGCAAATATCCAGGCAATTCCTATACCCCTTAACATCTATTCATTTACTTAAATTGCTTTTCCTCCTAACACATAACAGAAACTACTCCACTGAAGAAATGGAAACTTTGTGTGCCCAGGAAGAATGGAAGGTTTAGTAGTATGGGTACATTTCAAAAGCTTCCCAAATCATTGTAATAAGCAGCCATATTTGAAAATCACTATTCCTCAGTGCTTCTCAACCTTATTTTGCAGATCACCTGAAGAGGCTACTGAAAGTGCAGCCACAGATTCAGTAGGTCTGAGGCGGAGCCCGAGACTGCATTTTTGCACATTCTCAGTGGCTGCTGCTGTTGTTGGTCCATGGACCACGCATTGAATACCAAGGATCTAGTCATTCTCCTGATGCAGACCTCTGACTTACTTACTTCAAGGGATTAATCAGAGGTGAGAAAAGGGGTACTGGCAAGGGTGAGTGCAGATTAGCTAGGTTTACAAACTAAGGTGTCCCTGATGGTAGGCTTTTCTTTACAGGAAACACAGATTCAAGTGTTCATTTCTGATTGTGCTCATTCTAATTGATTCAAAGCCTGAACTGTCACCCCCATACTAAGACAGAGCACAGCAATCAAATCAAATGTTGTTCATAAAGGATGACACATTTTTATTTGAGAATATGTAAAATGTACCACATTCTCTTTTTTCTTTCTCTCTGTTTCTGGCTACAACTTCCTCTTTAAAAATACACTGTTCGCCTTTTGATTTGATTTTTATTTGATTCTCAATAAAAAATTTTAAATAGTGCATTTGCAATTTTCATGAAATAAGATGTCTATGAATCCTATCTGTGCATTATACCTATGGTGCATCTCCCTGAAGGGCGTGTAACATGAAATAGGCTGTCGTTAGTCTTTGCTGTTTCCCTGTAAAATGAGACACTTTCAATTCCAATTTTGTAGATAATGAAAATGAAATGCAGAAAGCTGAACTGACTTAATTAGGATCTCATACCAATCACACAGGATGTGGCCAAAACTTACATCCCAGATCTCCCATGCTAAAAGTTGGCTTAGTGGAAAAAGAAGCAGTAAGCTTCCAAAAATTGTGCCTCCGTTACTCATAACACTTGCATCTCTTTGAAATAAAGTTTATAATTTAACAGCCCTTCTCCTGCACATATCAGTTGTTGGAATTTATATTCTATTCATCTGATTATTAACCTACATTCTTCCTAAAATAATTCAAAGTGGCCTTAGAGGGATACATAAAATAAACTAATATACATTGTATGAGAAAGAAAAGAGGAATAGGAATAAAGCTGATGAAGCAAGTTTATACAAAGAAGTCCTACAATTTCAAGTTAAATTCAAATTTGGTTCTTGACTTTTTCTTTTTTCTTTTTTTCAATCTTTTTTTTTTTTTTTTAGACAGAGTCTCACTCTGTCGCCCAGGCTGGAGTGCAGTGGCAAGATCTCAGCTCACTGCAAACTCCACCTCCTGGGTTCAAGCAATTCTTGTGCCTCAGCCTCCCGAGTAGCTGGAATTACAGGCGTCCACCACCATGCCCAGATAGTTTTTGTATTTTTAGTAGAGGCAGAGTTTCACCATCTTGGCCAGGCTGGTCTTGAACTCCTGACCTCGTGAGCCACCTGCCTCGGCCTCCCAAAGTGCTGGGATTATAGACGTGAGCCAAAACGCCCGTCCTGGCTCTTGACTTTCTATCAGTTAAGGTGAAAAGGAAAACATCTCGCAGCACCTGTGTGAAAAACCAACACATTTTTCCAGAAGCAGGAACTGCTAACTGCTCTGTGGTAGACCAAGTGGTCTGGCTTTGATCCAGATGGCTGGTACACCTGGACACATATGTCTTTGACTTCCTCTGTAAGTGAAACCCCAGGGGGTGAAAACAGGACTTCCAACACCTAATCCTGAAATAATTTTAACTTCCCAGTTGATTTACTATTTCCAGAGACTTTTCGTCAATATATTGCTAATATAATTAAATAATAGAGGCTCACTCAAACTAAAAAGCTTGAGTTTATTTAGTGAAGATTTGAAAACTACATTGAAAACTACATATAATCATTTAAACTGCAAAAATGGAGCTCAATGGACTCAACATACAATAGCAAGCATAAGATCAAAACATGAGATAACTATGTAAAAATGGACATTGGAGAGATGGGGGAAAGAATGAAGGTGAATTTTTGTTTGCTTTTTTTTTTTTAACGGCTTTGGGTTATTAATTTGTATACCATAAAATTCACCCGATTAATTTTTGGTAAATTTACACAGTTGTGCAACCATCACCACAATCCAATTTACACTTGATCTTTAGCCAAAAAGCTGAGAATTTGTCACAGTCCAATTTTAGAACACTTCCATTACCCCAAGAAGTCCCCTTATGCCCATTTGCAGCCAATCCCTGCTTCATCTCCAGCCTCAGGCAACCAATATTTGTCTTCTGCCCCTATAGTTTTGCTTCTTATAGAAATTTCATATAAATTGAATTTTACAATATGCAGTTTGTGTCTGGCTTATTTCACTCAGCATAATGTTTTTGATGTTTATCTACACCATTGCACATAACAGTAGTTTGCTCCTTTTTATTGCTGTGTGGTATCGTAGTTTATAGCTATATGGCATTTTGTTTATTCACCTGTTAATACATATTTGGGATATTTCCATATTTTGGCTTTTATAAATTATTTATAAAAACAGCATTATGCTGTAATGAAGTCCTTGTGAGGATATGTGTTTTCATTTATTTTAAGTAACACCTAGGAGTAGAATTGCTGGGTTGTATGGAAAGTATATATTTAACATTTTGTAAAAATTATCAAACTGTTTTTCAAAATGTTTCTAACATGTTGATCCAGATGTACTAAAATTTACATTCCCACCATTAATGTATGATGGTTCAGTTTCTCCGCATCCTCACTCACAGTTGGAACTATCTTTTTCACTGTAGCCTGTGGTGGTTAATTTTAGGTATCAGCTTGACCAGGTTAAGAGATATCCAGATAGCTGATAAAGCATTATTTCTAAAGCATTATTTCTGGGTGCATCCGTGAGGATGTTTATGGAAAAGAGTGGCATTTGAATCAGTGGACTGAGTAGAGAAGATCCACACTCTACCACCATTGTGGCTGAGCATCATCCAATCTGTTGAGGGCCTAGATAAAACAAGAGGCAGAGGGAGGGGAAATCCTCTGTTTCTTCTGGAACTGGGACATCCACCTTCTCCTGTTCTTAGACATCAGAACTCCAGGTTCTTGGGCCTTTGGATACTGAGACTTTATATACATATACCATTGGTTCTGTTCTCTGGAGAAGGCCTGACTAATATGTGGCCCATCTAGGATGTTTTGAACAGAAAGAACGTATTCTAGTTTTCAGCTGGTTCAGAAATAGGATCAAAACAAGCCACCACTGGCCCCCGACAAAATCTCCTTTTCTGAATGGTCTTAAAGAATGAAAATTTACAGGATTCAAAAGCTTGTGCAACATTCTCCTTATGGTTTTTTAAATTGCGTATTTTTCAATTTCCTTCAATTAATCTGTTTTATCAACTTGAGCTTCATATCATATCAAAGGCTTACCAGAAAGCACCTTGCTACCCCATGGATTTGCTTATGAGTAGGACAAAACAGGATCCTTCAACTACAGAGGAATCTTTCTATATCTCTTATTCTAAAATGTTAAATGTCAAACCAGGATTCTCACCCCAGTCTAAGCTAGTTTGTATCCACCCCCTCTACATGTAGATAATTTCTGTAGCTATAAAATAAACCTTTGGAGTACCACTTAGCTTACCAGGCATTGCTAATTGTCTTTCCCTTTAACTGCTTAACTCAACTTATATATGTTTTCAATTTCTTGACCATTCATTAAAAAATGATGGTGTACTACTTGCTTAAAGTTTCCCTGGAGGGTAAAAAACACATGTTATATATTTGTGTATTTATGATATAACTGATTCCCTTTCTTGGAAAGGATCTGATTGACAGATGCTAATTTTGACTGGATAAATGTAAGGTAATATCCCTACACAATTTTCACGAGAATTGTGCCAGGGAAGCCACACAAAGCAAATTGCCACATGCCACATTTAAATTAACAAAGGTGTGCTTCAGTGGTCTTCCTACTAAGATGTCTGCTGCTTTCTTATTCCATGAAGGATTTTTTCCAAACTTAACTACATAATGAAATAGCCTCATTTCCTACACTAAAAGGCTGCTACAGGGCCAGTAGCCCCCATGAGTTAGCCATCAGTCCTTCCTGTATTTACCTAATTGTGCTGTTTTCCTTCATGGAGGTTTCAAGGTGTTAACAGGCAAGAAGGCAGAGATGCCTTGTGACAGCCAGGAGAAGGCTAGCTGTTGCCAAGATGCATCACCTAGGGCATCACCATGATCTGGCCCTTGCAGACATTTGCAAGCTTCATTTCAGTTCCAGGGTCATAGCTCAAAGCACACAAATCTGATTAAATCAGTATGTGCGTACAGTAGTCTCCCCCATATCTGTGGTTTCACTTTCCATGGTTTGTTACCCATGGTCAACTACAGTCCAATATATTAAATAGAAAATTCCAGAAACAGACAACTCATATGTCTTAAATCACGCACCATTCTGAGTAGCATGATGAAAGTCACGAAGGAGCCTTCTCCATTATTATCATATCAACTGTTGCAGGATGATGGTGTTTGTGTTCAAGTAACCCTATTTTACTTAATAATGGCCCCAAACCATAAGAATAGTGATGCTGGAATAATATTATAATCGTTTTATTTTTTATTAATTATTGTTATTAATCTTTGTCTAATTTATAAATTAAACTTTATCATAGGTATGTATACAGAAAAAATATAGCATATATAGGGTTCAGTCCAGTGTCAGACATCCACTGAGGTCTTGGGGGATCCTCAGAGGATAAGAAGGGGACCGCTGTGCATTATCTCACCATGATGAAAATATCTTTCAAGTAACAGAATGCCACCTCTCCTTGTATTAATAATTAAGTAATCATCAAAAGTTTTCTTGGTATGTGCAGAATTAAAATAAAAGGAGTGGACAGTTCTGAGAGGTGTTTCATCCAGGTCTTGATGTTCCACAAGCCTGTCTGTCAAGGCTGCCATCGACAAATATGCAGTGTACAACCTGCATGACTATACAGGTGGAGGTGGTCCCACTTTCTCTTGTAAACTGTATTGATCACGTCTTAGCTTGGCTTCTCTGGCCTCTGGATAATTTAGGACCACACTTCTAACATATGCTTCTGCAGACCCCTCAATTCTCTGTTGTCTTTTTCTTTTTTTTGGAGATAGAGTCTTGCGCTGTCTTCCAGGCTGGAGTGCAGTCGTGCAATCTTGGCTCGCTTCAACCTCTGCCTCCTGGGTTCAAGCAATTCTCCTCCCTCTGGGATTATAGGCGCGTGCTACCATGCCTGGATTTTTGTATTTTTAGCAGAGATGGGGTTTCACCATGTAGGCCAGGCTGGTCTTCAACTCCCGACCTCAAGTGATCCACCCGCCTTGGCCTCCCAAAGTGCTGGGATTACAGGCATGTTGCCATATAAGGCAACATATTCAGAGGCTCTGGGAATTGGGTGTGAATATCTTTGAGAGGCCATTATCCTGCCTACCGTTAAGAGGGAAGCATTGATAACATCTTGAGACCGTTTAAACCAGTGGTACCCAGTCATAAGTGACCGTGCTGCCTGCAGGGGACATTTAGTAATGGCTAGAGACATTTTTTGGTTGTCACAACTAGGAGAGGACTGCTACTGGACATCTAGTTGGTAGAGGCCAGGGATGCTACTAAATATCCTATAATACACAGAATAGCATCCACAACGAAGAATTATCTAGCACAAAAATATCAATAGTGATTGAGTTGAGAAACCCTGATTTAAAGCACAAGATTCCTTGAAATCTAAGTTAGGGAGGTTACAATGCAATGGAAATCAGTTTCAGGATTCAGACTTACACGGAAAAGTCTGCAAAATCACATACAAGTTTTATAACTCTAAGTTTTTGATGACCTTATAGGGTAAATAAGCGATGAATAATACTTTGAAGCATTTTGATCCCTGCCTTAAGTTGTTATTTCTTAAGTGGTATTTGTTTTACTTTAGGTCTGGTGTAATCTTTCATACTGATGCATTACACATATAGGCAAGTTAATTTAAAGTATACATAAACATCATTTTATGTACATCATAAATATTTAAATCCTAGATGCTCAGATTTTAAATATGTAACACCAAACAGATTTGAAACAGCCTTCTGCAATATTTTACTTCTGTCTTGGTATGGCTTGACTTCTGTATTCCTTGACTTCAAAGAATCAAAGATAAGTACATTTGCTATGACATTCCCTTCCACTGGAAGAAAGGTTCAAGTTGGGGCCATCTTTCATATAATGTAAGCACCCTGAGTGTCAATACTTGCTTTTCCCATTCTCAAGAATTTCTGAGCTCAGGTTTGAACCCACCCACTCTCTTAAAGTGACCTATAGACTTGCTGGTAAGATATTTTATATTTTTTCAACATCTCTCTTTTCATATTTCTTTCTTTTCTTTTTTTTTTTTTTTTGAGATGGAGTTTCAGTCTTGTTGCCCAGGCTGTAGTGCAATGGCGCAATCTCAGCTCACTGCAACCTCCACCTCCTGGGTTCAAGCAATTCTCCTGCCTCAGCCTCCTGAGTAGCTGGAATTACAGGCATGCGCCACCACACCCGGCTAATTTTGTATTTTTAGTAGAGATGGGTTTTCTCCATGTTGGTCAGGCTGGTCTTGAACTCTCGACCTCAGGTGATCTGCCCGCCTCAGCCTCCCAAAGTGCTGGGATTACAGGCGTGAGCCACCGTGCCCAGCCTTCTCTTTTCACATTTCTTTTTCTTTCCATCTACTCTACTCTGGCCACTCTTCTTTAATACTTGCTTTTGTCCAAGATTTCCTCTAGGGTTTTCCTAATTTGCAACAACTTCTAAAAGAAATAGTTGTATTTTTCTGTGGCAGAAAAGATTTCCTAACCAGCAGAAGACTGTGTGTGTGTGTGTGTGTGCGCGCACGAGTGTGTGTGTTTATGAGTATGCAGAGTGTATCCATGAGGGTGTGTGTCATCTTATTTATTCTCCTAGGAAGAATAGTAACTACCAATGTGAACAAGTATTCTAATGGCTTGTGAACCAACAGAGCAGAATGAAGAAAAATATACAGCTATACAGCAACCTTGTTTACCACTGAAGTTATTTCTATTGTATACATTTCTCTGCCAAGATACATCCTGCAAGGTGTTTTACATTTGGTTTGATTTCTAAGCTACAATTAAAGGATACAGGTTAAATACATTTTAGTGAGTTGAGACTTGCCAAACACTATTTAAAAATCCTATCTCTAAACATTAAGTCACATTTAAGATTCCAGATTCTGAATGTCACATTGCTCCTTGGGAGGAAAAACCTGCCTAGATCTCTGAGGCAAAATCACTTGTCGTTTATAGAAATACACCTACCTAGTCAAAAAATCCAGTTTCTTCGAAAATAAAATTCAAGGAAAAGAAGAGAAAAAGGAAAAATAGTGAGAGAAGAGAGAATCTATAGATTAAGATACCAAAGAGACATGTCAAGTGTATTAAAGACAGAGGAATTAACCCTTAGTAGTCAATATGTAAGTGGAAGTTTCCCGAAACAGGACAGCCTGAGCATATAATAGGGTAGCTGGTAGAGAGAGGAAGCATAGGAGGATCTGGGGAGGAAGTAAACGTTAACTTTGACAACTTGGGCACATGCTGACTTTTGCACATGACCACGGAGATCCCCCAGCCAAGGTACCTGTGCAGCCATTTCCCTGGGGAATAAAGAAACTTCGTTTTTGGGAAAAACTTACTATGTCGAGCAGCAAATGGCTAACATCTAAATCAAGTCTCCCTCACGCTCCCCACATCACATCTCAGGGTGTCTAGTCATTGCTCTTGTGACCCAGAGCAAAAAAATCCATCAAAAAACGATACAAAAAAAAAAAAAAACCAAAGGGCACAGATTCAGGATATTAGACTATAACCTAGAATTGCCAGATATTTTCCCGTCATTTTTTTGCAAAGTTCAGTGAATAACAAAAATCCAAGTAAAGAATATCCAAGACTGGGTGCAGTGGCTCATGCCTGTAATCCCAGCACTTTGGGAAGACAAGTAGGAGGACTGCTTGATCTCAGGAGTTCAAGACCAAGCTTGGGCAACATAGTGAGACCCTGTCTCTACAAAAAAAAAAAACAAAAAAAAACAAAAAAAACAAAAAACCCACAACCTAGCCAGGAATGGTGGCAGGTGCCTATAGTCCCAGCTACTCAGGAGGCTCAGGCAGGAGGATGCCTTGAGCCCAGGAGATCAAGGCTGCAGTAAGCTGTGATCACAATACTGCACTCCAGCCTGGGTGACAGAGCAAGATCCTGCCTCAAATAAATAAATAAATAAAATTAAAAATATCCAGCAGAAAATGGTTAAAATTATTTGGAACAGTTTATTTATTTCTTATAAGACACATAGATGTTAGAAAGGAGGTTTAGAATCTCTTGTTAAAGGACACAAATATTGTGTTCATATCCCAGGTGCTGCCCTCAGCTACCACCTTCCTTTTTCTTGAAGAAAGAAGAAATACTCCCATTTTCACCACACTCCAATTGATGGGATTTATATAGCTTCATACACTTCTCTGTTTTCTGCTCTGACTTATTTTTCTTCTCTTCTAATCATTGATGTTGTTTAGCCCTTGAACCTCTTCTTAAGTTTAGCCCTTGAACCTCTTCTCTTCTTTTGAGAACTCAAATACTTCCAAGGCTTCCACTATCACTCCTAAACTGACAGATCTCAAATCCAAATTCCAGCTTCTTAAACCTCATCTCTACCTTCCTCCTGTCTATTTTCATCTTAGACCAAACACATCCACATCCACCTCATAACCTCTCTATTTCTGTGTGGGCTGCCTCCATTCTCTTTAGTCCCTTGGGTTTTAAAACTTGGCATCATTCTCAATTCATTCATTTTATTTAGCAAGTCAGTTCTACTGAGTCACCCAATTCTCCCTCCCCATTATCTCAATAGTACTCTTCTCTCACCACAGGCCAACCTCTTCAGCTTACACTTGGAGTACAGAAGCAGCCCCCACCTGCCTGCCCTCCTTTTCACTCAATCCAGTCAACCTCACATTCGCAGAATCATCTTTCACCTTTGGCCTGATCACTCCTCTGTTCAAAAATATCTGTTTCTCCTGTATTACAATATCAAGGCTAAACATGGATTTCAAGGTTCTCCATAATGTGTCCTTCTATCAAGCGTACACTTTTACTACTTCTCAATAACATAGTTTCTTTCTTTTGTGTTTGGAATTCCCTCTTCTGCACCGCCACATCTAAATTCTAGCCCTGCTTCAAGGTTCTTCCCAAATTTAAGGCTGGGTGCGGTGGCTCACGCCTGTAATCCCAGCACTTTGTGAGGCCGAGGGGGGCAGATCACCTGAGGGCAGGAGTTCGAAACCAGCCTGATCAATATGGTGAAACCCCGTCTCTACCAAAAATACAGAATTAGCCAGGCGTGGTGGTGGGTACCTGTAGTCCCAGCTACTTGGGAGGCTGAGGCAGGAGAATTGCTAGAACCCGGGAGGCGGAGATTGCAGTCAGCCGAGATCACGCCACTGCACTCCAGCTTGGGCGACAGAGCGAGACTCTGTCTCAAAATATAAAAAATAAAAAAAATAAATAAAATGAAATTTCTTCCCAGATTTTAACTTCTCCACCTAGATTTACATGCCTACATCTCACTCCCTTCTTCTCACCCACCTAGTGAGGTGCACTGAGACATTTAACACAATGATACGAAACTTACCATTTCATATGTGTTCATTTTCTTTCTTCAACTACATGGCAAGCTCCATACAAATAGCGATATAGTTTTCTATTGCCCTGCTATACAGCCCAGGGCTGAAAATAGTAATATATTTTTCAGAGTAAACAAGTTAATTAATCTACTACTTAAATATATTTTTATTTCCATTGATTATAGAGCCAGACACATAAATAATTGATCTACAATGAATAAAAGTGTAAACAAAGCAAATTAAGATTAGCATTTAATTTTAAATATTATACATCAGTTGTATAACTATTACACGTAAAAACCATTTCTTACCTGATTTTATGCAGTCTGATGACTTGCAAATACCATCTAGAAAAAGGAGAGAATATACATAAATATTGGCAACACAAATTTTTAAATTTCTATTTTTCTTTTGTTCTTTTAAAAACTGCCAATTAAATAAGCAATTTCTTAAAGCAAGAACTAAAAACTGAACATTATATATCATTGTCAGTGGTTAGAAAAAATATAAGAAAATAAAATAAGTAAAATCTAAATTTAAAATTTTGATTATGAAGAAAAATGTGTTATTATATCTTCTCTACCAACGAAGCCCCAGGCCTATTAAATTGAAATAATCAGTTGTTTTTGCTTGGTAATCATTTTTTTAACCATTAAACAATCAATCTTTTTTCATCCTTGTTGTAAAAAACTTCCAAGACTCAAATTAAATTTGTTAAATTCCTGTGAAGCCGTTTAGAATTTCAATGACACAACAAAAGTTGACTAATGACTATTACTAAAGCTGGCCATAAAATTGTGTATATTTTAATCAAATAAAACCATACTTTAGATTCCTCATAAGTAAGCGTGAGCGCACTAAATATACTTGCAATTAATAACTTAGCTCAAACATAAAAGGCACCGTACTTCAAAGTTAATTATTTTGACATATTGATGTTACATTTTATAAATGAATCTCTTTGTCAGTCTTTAAGTGCCTCTATCCTTAACACATTCGTTGGATAGATGGTAAAAGCATGGAGGAAGATTTCCTTCTCTTTTGCACTTATGGATGCACAGGTGTGGGAGTAACTCACCATCGTAGGTTGCATAGAGTGCGATCATTGTCACAGCTATGATGGTGAGGAGCAGGACAAGGACCGAGAGGCTGATCTCCAGTGGAGTCCATCGCTGTTTCTTCTTTGGCTTTGGAGTGTTGATATCAGTTATATCCATCTGACTTTCTGACTTGCCCATCACCTAAAATCTGCAAAAAATGAAAATACTAATAATGAAAAACAAATAAATAAAAAAGAAAATGTCCAAATGCTTAATGTGGCTGGATAAAAGTAAAAGGCTCAGTTATTTTAAAATAGAAATACATTTTTGCTGTTGAGAAGTCAAAATTTTGTTGCTGAATGCAAAGTATATAGAGCCAAATGAATTTGACAGGTCTCAGTCACAACCTTTTGTTTTTTGTTGCTGTTGTTTTGTTTTGTTTTGCTTTGGTATATCACTGAAAATCTCAGCAAAATTAGACAGTAAGACTTGGTTAAATACTCAAGTAGGATTAATTCAGCAGTTTATAAGCAAATAATTGCTGTACCATCATTAAGAAAGTTTTAAACTCACCCTTTTGAACTCTGGACTAACATCAATGGTTAATTTTATATCTTGCTCCAGTGGCTTCCTTTATAAGCTCAAAAACCAGTGACTAATACCTTGAGGTTTTGACTAAGCAATAATTTGAAATATTAATATAGATAAACAGCAAAACGAATGAACACATGAAGTAGTTTATTTTAGTCATAAAAACAACCTTTATTTTTACAGTTCAAAATTACTACTACTACTGATACCAGTATCTATTAACTGGTTAGACAACATTCTGAAAATGGTCACTCACTGTACCAAAAGATACCTGAATATCCAACCTAACCACGCCCAATCCCATTTAAGAGGGGAGTAAGGGGGATAAGTAAACAAAATAGTACAAAAAGTTACCAAGTTGATACTTGTAGTCCTGTATAAAGCAGGGTATGCAAAAACATACCTGTATTCCTAAAATCTTTCACCTCAACTGGAGATGTGTTAAAAACTTTAAACCAAAAAGTGGACACTGCCACAGAATAGAATAAAGAATTAGGAAACTGGGGCACAGAGAAGTCAGGCAACGTGTTCAAGACTACACAACTCGTCAATATTCTTTGTAAAGAACACATTTGGTCACTGTTCAAAATAAAGCTGTATCATCATGCAGTAAAAGCGTACTGTAGAAATTTAGGGGGAAAATTAAGGGGATATAAGCCTAAATATTAAATTTCATCAGGGGCCTAGTGACACTTTATCAGCCAGTCTCCAAGGATTAGAACACACAATTTCCATTTTTCTGCATGACTGTATAAAAGAACATCTTAAACTAGCAGATTAGCTGTTTATAGCTCAATACAAATTGCTCTTAGAATTTGGTCCCAGGATGAAGTGGCGGCTCAGAAATGCTCTTATAGTTAAAGATCTTTGTTGAACACACACAATTCTCTAAGGGTGTGTTTTGTGGAAACTGAGGCATAGGAGAAAGAAGAAACATATTCTACATTTGAAGTATGGTCTGGGAGACCCAGCAGAAAACTAGAAATTAACCTTCCCAGTGAATTATTAATAAGCGAACCACAGCTAGACCTTAAAGTTCTGGATACAAAGTCTTAAACATGCTGTCCCCTTGATTACATGAGGCTATAAGCAAGGACAGACTATCAAATAAAAATATTTTATTACACAATGAAAACCGTGTCTGCTAAATAAAAGTGGAATGTAATGTACCTGAATGTTAAAATGTCTTACTTAATGGTTATGTAAGGCATGCTGGCTTAGTCTCACCACCCCTGGGGTTATGATATGGAATTGCATTGATTGTAGTCCTATTTTAATAGTGTATTGGTTGGGCAAAGGAAAGAGGGGAACAAATTTAATAATACTCTGGACACTTTACAGAGAGGTAAACAATAATAATTCTCCCAGTCTCCCCATGTTTCATGACTGTCCTAAAGAACACCTGAATGTTAAGCACATTTGCTAAAGTATTTCCCTTTCCTGAATATTGTTCCCCCCGCATATGTCAGAAGACAATGTAGAGAAATGTTTTACTGGTATAAAAGGACTTTTTTTTTTCTTAGTTCTTCCTTAGAAATGACAGTCAGTGTCCCTGTAAAGTAAAGCGAAGGGGTGAACCAGGGCAGCCTCAGGGTTAAATTACAGGTGCTCTGTGGAAACTCCATGCCTTGTGGTGTAGTAAAGCTAGTGGATAAGCATTTCTTTCTCCCTGTAAGTTACTTTCCCTTGGCTTCTCCTCCTTACCCTTGAGACTGGGTACTGAAGCAGCTGGGCTCTTAATGGGTCAGCACCCAAGTTTGCAGAAACAGTTACAGAGAAATGAAGACAGTGACAGAAGCTGCATCAAAACAATATAATCTTTGAATCACCTGCAAAGTCTTCCTCCATCTCCCCCTCTTGTAAATGCCCTGTAAATTCTTAAAGGAAGTCTTTTGCTCTTAGTAGCCTTTTTTCAAAAGCATTGAGCAAAAGCAGAAATGATGCAAGTTTAATCTCCTAATTAACTTTGTCGTTCATTTCCAGTTAATTCTGGAAGGTTCACAATTTTTCTTTAAGACATCAGGGGACAGTATCTGGAATCTCACTGTGGAACATATGACTAAACCCCAAATACCTGAATATCCAACTTAACCACACCCAATCCCATAGAGAAGAGTAAGGGGGACAAGTAAACAAAAGAATACAAAAAAAAAAAAAATACCAAGTTGAGGCTTATAGTCCCATATAAAGCAGGGTACGCAAAAACATACCTGTATTCTTAAAATATTTCACTTCAACTGAAGATGTGTTAAATAAAAAGTTTAAACGGAAAAGTGGACACTGCCACAGACGAGAATAGAGAATTAGGAGGTCTAAGATAACAAGAACCTGCAAACTTCAGCTCGACAATATTACCAACAGAATAAATTACTATTTTAAGTGTAAGCTTAATTTCAAAGCAATGTAAAGCAGCAATTCTTATACCAGTTGAGCATAAGCATTACTATATCAGACAGTCAAAGCAGGAAACCTGGATAACTGATTTGTTAAAAAGGAAATCTCATTGACTTACAGACTTAGACTTAGCTAAGCAGTTTTCATCTTCACTGCACATTATAACATTAACTTATATCTGCAGGTTCCTGAAGCTGTGCTATGCAATTACAGTTTGTTCTATGGAAACTGAGGCACAGGAAGAAGGAGAAACAGTTTCCATATTTAAACTGTGTCTGCAGAAGCTGAGGACAGAGGTACTCAGGATAAATCATCTTCTTGTTTCCCAGACATTAATTAGGTGTTTCCCAGCCTGAAATACGGAGTTCTGGACACGAAGTGCCAACCATATTACTCCCCTGGTTAGTGCTGCTCTACAACCAAAGACACAGGGTTAAGTCCAAGAAATTACCAGACAATTTTTTAAAGTGCTAGAACCCACAAAAATGGCAGGGGATGAAGCTACACGCCTTCATACAGTCGATTTGCCGACAAGCACTTTCCAAATGCTGACGCTGCAAGTCAGGTACTAGTTTTCAGTTTAATAAAATTGCCATTTGAATCATATATGGGGGAGGAATCGACTTGATCGAGAAGCTAAAGAGGGATATTTGGTTGCAATTACCCTTATTTTGAAACCAGACAAATAGACTGAAACCAGTTAAGAGGTCTTAAACTTTCATCTACAAAAGGACACACCAGCCCCGCACCGACCAACCCTTGTGAGATTTAAGCATTAATTATATAATAGGAAATCAGGTTAAAAGCAAGATGAAGAGGTGGGATAATGAAAAGATCTTCCGGTTAAGAAAAGTAAAAATAGAAAAGTGAGTTACAAATGAGAAAATCCGACAGAAACCAAAATGAAAACAAACCTTGCTTTTTAAAAAGAAGAAAAAAAAATCAGTGTCTGTACAGCAGAATGGCAAATTCCCAGCCCCCAAATCAGCCCCGGTGCAATCTGGTAGCGCGGATCTCGGTAACAAAACATAACTCCCCAAGGCAGAGGCCGCAGGGAACTATGGAAATGAACCTGAAGAGCCAACCTGACGTGACTTCCAGAGCCCTCCTCCAGGTCACCCTCTGGGCCCCTCTCCCTCCCCTCACTCTTCAGGTCCCAGTAGCGGCTCCTTCCCAGGGCACGCCTCCTCCACGGCCGCAGGGTCCTGGGCGCTCGGATCGCGCTGGACCTTAGCTGCGGACCCTGCTCAGCGCACCTCCCGGCAGCCGCTCCCCTCGGCTGGCTCTGCCCTCCCCGTGCCCGTCCCACGGGCTCCCAGCGCCCTGGGCGCTCGCGCCCTTTGGACCTTTCTCCCTCAGCTCGCTCTCCTGGGACTCACCAGTGGGATTCGGGAGAAGTTGGAGGCTGCTGAGCCGACACATCCCGACCAATGAGCGCACGGGGCCGGGTGGCAGTGGCGGGCTGAGAGCCCAGCCAAGCGCCTCTCAGTCCGTGCATCCGCCCAAGGCGCGCGGGCTCCAGGCTGAGGCCGGACTTGGGGGAGGTTCCGGACCCGCCTCCGCCCGGGCCGTGGGGCGACGAGGCACCTGGGCATCCCTCCGACCCGCACCCACAGAGACTCACCGTGACCCCTCAGCAGATCCCGCGCCAGGAGTTGGGCGGCTGCTCCAGCCTGCTCTCGGTCAAGCTTCGCCACTTGCACATCTCCGCGCCCCGCGCGTCTCGGCGCTCTCACGGCCCACCCCCCCCACCCCCTACCCCGCCTCGCCGCTGCAGGACCAGAGAGAGGAGCAGTTCCCTGGGTGACCTGAAGGTTTCCGCTAGGTCTCCCAAATCCAGTCACTTCATGTGAGGGGGCCGGGGAGACGGGGGGCGGGCGGTGGCAATGAAAATGTCCCATCCTCCCCACCCCCCATCTCACCATTCCCAAAAGGGCTTTGCTAAACATTTTTAGAATTGCTTAGCTTCGGGGCTTTCAAGAAAACAATACACGGGCTCTTCGGGATTCTCTAGTCCTGAGGGGGCTCCATCTCTCCCCTGTGGACCGGAGACTATAATGCTTGCCTCTTCTCACGCTCTTCTTTCGCTCTCTTTCCCGCTCCCTTTCCTCCCTGAATCCAAGCTTCCTTCCTTCTTCATTTAAATGTCCTCTCTCCCTCCCTCCTTCGTTTTCTTTTTTCTTACTCTCCCTCCCCGTTTCCTTCTTTCCTTCCTTGCTCCTGCTTTCTCCACCCCGCTTCCCTCTTTCTTCCCTTTCTTTTCCTTGGTCGAAGTACTCTCATGTCAAGATCTGAACTGAAACTCTCCGCTCCCACCTCCTGACTTCAGGGAATCTTAAAACGTGTGTACATCGGAGGTTGAGGGTGGGGAGTGAGAAAGAGAAAAATAAACTAAAGTGTGTCTGCTCTACCTACTGAAATCAGCCGTAATGCGCCTGGACCCTCACAGTTTAATGCAAGCAAGCAGCGTACCCCTTTCACTCAAGACACAGCGATTCCTCCTCAAAGGGGTAAATACAAACAAGGAAATAAATACTTTAGGCACAAAGGCAGTTTCTTTGTAAAAGCTACCTTTAGCAGCTATAATTGCCAAGGAGCTCAGAGGAACTAAACTTCCTTTTTTTTTTGCTTCCAGTGTACAAGTACCTTTAATACTGATCCCTTTCCTCTTTTGAATCACAGGTAATTACACACACACACACACACACACACACACACACATACACACACATATTCACACTCCACTGCGGAATTCATACTGAAATAAAACTGGGTTTGCAATTATCTGTTTTTAATATCAAAATGATTTGCTGCTTGAGAAGAGTCCCCTTGTGCTAAAAAATTTTCCATCTTTTTCATAGCAGAGAAAGCTGAAAAGCAAGGAGAAAAGGTAGTTCATCCTAATAAGTGGAATACAATGGAGAGACATTTCCCCAAAAAGCTAACCAATCTTTAAATAATTCGATTAATATAGAGGAAAAATGGAGTGTGTAGACCTAACAAGTGCTATTGACGTCTATTTACGCTTTCTCTGTGCATCTTACAGACACTATTTAGTCCTCACAACAATCCCGAAATATTGGTGTTTTCACTCCCACAAATAAGCATGCGGGGCTTGACTAGCGCCCTGGAAAGCATCTCAACTGGAATTTTTTTTTCCTACAGAGTCTCGTGCTGTCGCCCAGGCTGGAGTGCAGTGGTGTGATCTCTGCCTCCTGGGTTCAAGCGATTCTCCTGCCTCAGCCTCCTGAGCAACTGGAAATACAGGCACGCACCACCACACCGAGCTAATTTTGCTTGCGTGTGTGTGTGTGTGTGTGTGTGTGTGTGTGTGTACTTTTACTTTCGGGGTTTCTCCATATTGGCCAGGCTGGTCTCAAACTCCTGGCCTCAAGTGATCTACACACCTCGGTCTCCCAAAGTGCTGGAATTACAGGTGTTAGCAATCATGCCTGGCGGTGAGGACTCTTTTAAAGGAAAAAAAAGGATTTACTTAAAATGTATGACAAAAGAAAAAAAAAATGCCTACTTAGAGTTAATTTTAGACTCTGACTTTCAGCTGATAGTCGACAGTATGGATTGGTAACTGGTTTCCCAGAACAAATATTTTTTTCTTTTTCTCTTTTCTTTCTGTTTTTTGTTGTTGTTGCTGTTGTTCGTTTTTTTTTGTTTAGATGAGGGTCTGACTGTGTTGCCCAGGCTGGTCTCTAACTCTGGGCTCAAGCAATCCTTCAGCCTCAGCCTCTTAAGTAGCTTGGACTACCCACATCTCCCTTACAATATCTTGATTTCATTAAAGTTGATTAGAAACTTAGGGTTTTTGTTGTTGTTGTTTGTTTGTTTGTTTTTAAATCAAGAATGCTAAATCTCCTCCCAGAAGTTTGTGCAAGTTTGAGATAATTTTTTTAAGGGATCTTAAAGAGTCCCCAACTATTTACAGTAAGTAAATTTAGACAACTGAGGCTTACTGAGGTGGTCCAAGATCACTCAGTTTGGCCACTTATAGGAATGGAGGAGAAAGTAGCCCTCCTGGTGGCCATACATAAGTTATTAAGAATGGAATGCATTGGTTCTAGCAGTTTGCAGAATGGATCCTTAAAAACCACTGTGTGTGACACAAATGCTTGATGAATTTTTTTAAGTCCTTTAAAAATGCTATAGTGCATTTTTATATGCACCATTGAGCCAGCAGGCAAGTAAAAGAAAATCTTAGAAGCCAAAAACAAAGAGAGCTGTCAGAGGCATTTGGACCAGAGCAACTCCATCTTGAATAGGGGCCGGGTAAAATAAGGCTGAGACCTGCTGGGCTGAATTCCCAGGAGGTGAGACCTTCTTAGTCATACGATGATGTAGGAGGTCGGTTGGCACAAGGTATAGGTCAGAAAGACTGTGCTGATGAAACAGGATACTGTAAAGAAGCCAGCCAAAACCTACCAAAACCAAGATGGCCATGAAAGTGACCGCTGGTGGTCCTCACTGCTCATTATATGTAAATTTTAATGTATTAGCATGCTAAAAGACACTACCACCAGTGCTATGACAGTTTACAAATGCTATAGCAACATCCAGAAGTTAACCTATATAGTTTAAAAAGGGGAGGGACCCTCAGTTCCAGGAAATCTCTGCCCCTTTCCCTGAAAACTCATGAATAATCTACCCCTTGTTTGGCATATAATGAAGAAATAACTGTAAGTTTACTCAGTCAAGCCGCCTATGCTGCTGCTGTGCCTATAGAGTAGCCATTCTTTATTCCTTTACTTTCCTAATAAACTTGATTTCACTTTATGGATTCATTCTGAATTCTTTCTTGCAAGAGGTCCAAGAACCCTCTTTTGGGGTCTGGATCAAGATGTCTTTCTTGTAATACCGACAAAAAAATCAAGAAGGATATGTGAGTGCTGAAAACAGTAGCTGTCCTGGTGGTATCTATCCATTTCAAGAGGCCTCACTGGACTTAAGCGACCTAGAGCTTTCACTTTAACAGGACTTGCAAGTGCCAAGGGACTTCATACAAAGTGTAGTCCAGGGCAAAGTGAAAATGTGGGCTAACAAAAAATGAAACTCAGCCCCAACTCCGACTCCTCACCCCTACTCTTCCACAAGAAACATAGATATACTTGCTTTTTTCAGTCCTGACTCAGGCTGGTAAACTTACAACAAAAACTTTCTGTAAGAATTCATGATTTGGCCAGACTTCAAATGGATGTAGGAATAGAATTTATACTAATTGTGTAGCCTGAGTATTTCCAAGTTAAAGATCTATGGTAAAGTAGTCCAAGCTAGACTGTTCAAAATAAAAATTGAAAAACTTCCCACCACTGACTGTAACCAAAGGAACTTCTTGAGAATGAATTTAGGAAGCAAAATAATAGTTTATGGAAGATCTGATATGTGAGAAAGAATGATAAGCAAAGAATATAGTAACAACATAAATAAATCTAAGCAAACATTAACAAAAATAAAAGAATGGTGATAAAAAAGATCAACTAAAAAACCAGACAACGGGGTGTGTAAGCTGGGAGAGTTTAATTAGAATTAAAGCACTCTGAAGTCTTTACTCAATCAGGCCTGGTGGTGTGCACCTGTAGTCCCAGCTACTCAGGAGGCTGAGGCAGGAAAATCACTTGAGCCCAAGTTTGAGACCAGCCTGAGCAACATAGTGAGACCCTGGCTAAATAAATAAAATGAAGTCCTTACTTATGTTGTTGGAAAGAAGGATAATGATATTGATTAATTATATACTTTAGACTTTATTAGGTTAATTATGTATGTAAAAAGTACTAATACAACCACAAAAAAGATAAAAATAGAGTGCATAAGGTCAAGTTTTGCAGAAAGAAAAAACAAAATTAAACATAAGTCAATCTAAAGGAGGACAGAAAAATAAAAAGTATTAGAGAAGAACATATAGGAAGTATAACATAAAATGCTAGAAATAAATCAAAATATATTAATTGCAATAAATATAATTGGACCAAATTCTCCAGTTAGAAGACACAGATTGGCATAAAACAAACAAATAAACAAAATTCAGCTGTCTTCTGTTTAAAAGAGACACACTTAAAACATAAGGCTATAGCATAGTTGAAAGTAAAATAGTTCAAAAAATATATCAAACAAATATAAGTGAAGGATTGCTGGTATAGTAAAGTTGTAATAAAACTAAAATTTTACCAAAAAAAGAGATTAATCAATTCAGCAGGCTGATAACATTGATAAAATTCTAAGCTTGATTACATCTAGTATCATAAATTTTAAGTAAATACTACAAAAAATAATATAAGAATTAAAAGGGTAAAATCACCCATGTTAATGGGTGATTTTAATACACCTTTCTCAATATTTGATATGTCAAGTGCACAAATCAGTAAGGATATAGAAGATCTGGATAACAATATTAAAAGATAATCCAATAGAAATATATAGAACATTTCACCCAAGAATTGGAGACTGTATATTTTTTTAAGCACCTATGGAATATTTATAAACATTGATTATATGCCAAACTATTAAATAAGCTACAGTGAATCTCAAAGACTTTTCATAACACATTTTTGGACCTTAACATGATTAAATAAATATAAAACCACATATATATCTAGAAATTGTTAAACAATGCACACAAACACCTTAAAATAACACATAAATTGGCCAGGTGTGGTAACTCATGCCTGTAATCCCAGCACTTTGGGAAGCTGAGGCGGGAGGATCACTTGAGGTCAGGAGTTCGAGACCAGCCTGGCCAACATGGAGAAACCTCCCCTCTGCTAAAAATACAAAAATCTGATGGGTGTCGTGGCACGTGCTTGTAATCCCAGCTACTCAGGAGGCTGAGGTAGGAGAATCGCTTGAATGTGGGAAGCGGAGATTGCAGTGAGCTGAGGTCATGCCACTGCACTCCAGCCTGGGTGACAGAGTGAGACTCTGTCTCAAAAAAAAAAGAAAGAAAGAAAGGAAACACACACACACACATAAATCAAAGAGCAAGAGCAAATCATAACGGAAGTGAAGAAACCTATAACTGAATGCAATAAAAATATTTCTTATCAATATATGTCAATTGAGGTATCTATCAATAGCAGAAAATTTGTAGCCTTAAATAATTTTATTTTGGAGTGAAAAAGCTAAAATTTAATGAGGTGAGCATATAACTTAGAAAGTTAGAAAAAGAAAACAACAAATCCTAAGAAAGTAAACTGAATGCAGTAGTACATAAAAATGACCAGAGATAGTTTTCTTTTACCTTCAAATTAAAATTAAATATGAGTTCAGTAGTAAGTATTGTGTTAGAAGGCCTGGATGGTGTAGTTGGAAAAGAGAGAGAGAGAGAGAGAGGAAAAGGAAGGAGAGATGAAGAGAAGTCAATAGAAAAGAAGAAATAACTAATTAAATATTGGTAAATTATGTAGTATGATCATCAATACTGAAAAACCAAAGTAATCTACAAAATATTACTCATATTTATAAGACAGTAATATGATTGTTGGATAAAAGATCAATATTAAAAAATTAATTGCGTTTTTACAAGAGAAAAACATGAGAAAACACAACCTTAAAAGACCCATCTACAGTCCTATAGATAGATAGACAGATAGGCATTGGTATAAATATATAGATATATCCTTAAAAAAGCATTGTAAAAAAAAAGGCAAGAAAAGAATATGCAACAGAGACTTAAATCATCCTTAAAGCCTAAAACATTTATTATCTGGCTTGATACAGATAATAAATGGCCAGAATTCTACTGAAAAGACAGCCAATAATTGGTTTTGTTCTTTACAAGGACACTTTTTTTTCCTCTTCTGGCAGATTGTACAAATTGATACTCTTTTCTAAAATTAATGTCATTGTGTTTTATTATTACCCACTACTATTGTTTAAAACATTCTATTTACAGCAAATTAATGTGGTGCACAAGGCTTAGTAGACTTCATGCACTGATTAGTGTCTAAATTGATATTTCTATTAGTGGTGTATAAGAAGTCAGGTGAGTAAGACTTGGTTTTATTTGGAGTTTTAGCTGGCATTTACTTATTAATTAATGAGACTGCACATCTCCTGTGCTGTGGTCGTTTCTATTTATTCTTCATTTTAATGTCTGTTTGTTCTTAAAAATGTAAGATCATTTTTAACTTGTAGGCTCGGAAATGGGCCACTGACCTCTATTGGATTTAGCTGACTGGTTGTAGTTTGCAGATCCCTGGCTAGTAGATCCTCCAGAGATTATGTGATTCTATTGGGATATGCACCTTCGGTTGACTTTTCATTGACCAAGCTATTCCACAACTCGGAAAAATTTGCCCTTGTTGGAAACCGGTAGTGATAAAAATGGATTAGTTTAGTAATTTGTAGGAAACATAACAATACAAATGATTCTTGTTTAAAACCATGCAAATGAACTTTTTCCAGCAGAGATCCTATTGATTTCCAAGGAAACGATAACTCTAAACATTACATTTTATAGGCTAATAAAAGTTTTGAGAGGCCAACATAGTTTTTAAAAAACTAAACTTTGGTAAACTTTGGTAAACAATTTTAGAAAACATTTATATTATCCAGAATTTTTAAAGAAACACATGACTTACAGCCCAACAAATTTACCTTTAGGTGCAGTCTCAGAAAAAACCTGCAGATATGTGCAAGATTCTGTAGCAGCATGGTCTATAATAATTTTCAAAAAAGTAGAAACAATACAAAAGTCCATTGATAGGAGAATGGATAGATAACTGTAATACATTCATAAAATAGAATACTGCACAGAATACAAAATAACCAACTGCCCTAAACAAACCAACAAACCAACCAACCAAACAAACAAACCAACTGCAGCTAAACTACACAGAATACAAAATAACCAGTTGCAGCTAAGCAAATGAGAAAAATAATGTTGAATGAAAAAGCAAGAAAACTCTGTGTAGAATATTATAGATACAAAGAAAACAGAAGATGTAATGATTATGTAATCAGGGAATCCACAGTTTAGTGGGTAAGAAAAATGCAAACAAGCATTTACAGTAGATTTGCATGTGATGGAAAAGTGTTTACTCTTTTTGGCATGGTGGAATTTTGTGCAGTGGAGCAATAAAGTCGGAGTGTCCGTTATAATGCCTGTGTTGCATTGATGGGAATGAGGAGGATGGGAAAGGATGGAGGCAAGGAGATCTGTTAAAGGGCTAGGACAGTGATTCTTTTTTTTTTTTTTTTTTTTTTTTTGAGACGGAGTCTCGCTCTGTCGCCCAGGCCGGACTGCGGACTGCAGTGGCGCAATCTCGGCTCACTGCAAGCTCCGCTTCCCGGGTTCATGCCATTCTCCTGCCTCAGCCTCCCCAGTAGCTGGGACTACAGGCGCCCGCCACCGCGCCCGGCTAATTTCTTGTATTTTTAGTAGAGACGGGGTTTCACCTTGTTAGCCAGGATGGTCTCTATCTCCTGACCTCATGATCCACCCGCCTCGGCCTCCCAAAGTGCTGGGATTACAGGCGTGAGCCACCGCGCCCGGCCGACAGTGATTCTTATGAGAGATATTTTAAAAATAAATAAGTGATCTAAGGCAATTGGAGAGATTTTTGAGGTAAAATCCATAGGACTTAGCGACTTTTTCATATTGAAAGTAAAGTAGAAAGAATCCAGAATGACTCCTACAGTATCAGGCAACTGGATAGATCTGTCACTTCATTGAGATAGGGAACATTTGATAGTGGTGGTGGTGGTGAGTTGTGGATAGGATGATGGACATCTTGTTGAAATTGTAGCATTACTGTCATACAATGAGATATTTGCCACTCCTGACAATTTGGTAAAACATCTAAATATTTGTTACATGCCAAATGCAATAATTAATTGTGATGATGGGAGAAATACGACTCAGAAATATTATACCTCCAAATTTCATTCAAGAAAAAATACCCTATAATTACCAAATGATTATTTGAAAACAGTCACTCACTAAGCAGTTTTTCAATTGACTACAGCTGAGTGACTGAAAATTAAATTTCAAAACATAGAATTGGGCCTATTCCCTGGCTAAACTGTTCCATGTGCTGATACGGTCGGGCAGGAAAGTCCCTCCCTAACATGCTGCACGTGCTACGCGTATGAGGATGTGACTAAGCTCAGTTACAGAGATATGCTTATCCCCTCATGTCTCCCAGATGATTATGTGTTTCATCCCAGCAACACACTAAAATTCCTTTACTGGCAATACGCAGAGAAACGGGAAAGGAGGGTAGTTTCACAGCACAACTTGTGTGGATAGTTTGCATTCACAAGCCTGGAACCAATTCTGGCCTGGAGGGAGGGCTGATTTTGAGCCCTTGGTATGCCCATCACCACATACCAAGGAACATGTGCATATGATTCATTCACATTAGACCTCTCTGATGCATTTCCTGTGGACAGCTGTGGCCCTGACTCTGGGGGCGAGAGCAGGGTATTGAATACTACACAGCAGCAGCCACAGGAATAAACCCAAACACCCCAGATTTTTCTCAGGGGGACATCTGCTCAATTTTGGCATGATTAACCTTTAAATCTCTGGTTCTTTCTGACTCTGATGTTTGGCAGAGGTGCGGATTCCAGATAATCAAAACTAGGACAAGCAAGGTGAAGAAATGCGTCTTCTAAGCAACTCCTGAGTGGGAAAGTATATGTCTTAACTTGAAAAAATCATATTCAAAATGTAATCAATTCCCAACTTCTCTTGGATCCTTAATGCTTCCAGGAAAAGTGCCAGGTGAAATAGAAATATCTAAATTTTAGACTTTTATGTTCCATGCTTTATTTATTTATGCTTTATACCGTACCAATCCTTTTGCAAAGATAAAGCTTATCTTGAACCCCATCATTCTTAATCCTTTTCATCAGCTGGTCATTCTTACCACAAGCATTCTTACCAAGTCAGATTATTGCATTTACCTAGATCCTTTAAGTCCAAGCAAAAAGAACACTTTTAAAAACTCATCCTGATCTGTTTATGCAGATGTATGTACATAGTGGCTTCTGGTGTATACTTTCATTATACTGTTTAAAATATCTCAAAGTCAAATCCTAAAGAAACGAACTGCTCCTTGTCACAAGATGCTTTTAATGTAAGAAATCTTTTCAAGTATAGTGATTTAGGATGTTATTTCACAAAAGCTTATTCAATGCACATTAATGCACCATAAATTTTAAAACTAGGCCAGAAAAATTAAAGAAATAAAAGTGTTAAGAGAGCCCATTTGACTAGTGCAATATTGTATATAATTGAAAAATAGCTCCAAAAACATTAAACAATATGATTGTCTTGCTTTTGTCTCAATCACACTAACTATATTCTTATAGGAGAGTTGTTGTCTGTTTGCATCGTCCACCTGTCTTATCTAGTGGTTATTGGTAGAGGCGGCAGTTACATTCCAAAAGGAAAACAATCTCTTCCTGTTCCCTCTGGTCATACCCATTTCCTGTTGCTTCTGGGGCTGGGTAGGGAGGCAGTTCTCAATAAGGTCCTTCTGCTGACGTTAACCAACATCACATGGACAAGGGCAAGGGAGTCACATTCTTGTTGAGTACTAGGATATTAAAATAGCTGAAGGTAATGGAGCCTATTCCTAGTCCATTAATCTGATGGTATTGCTTTTTACTCATTTGAAACCCAGTGAGTTTCTTCCTGCCTAGGAACTCAGGGTGATATTAATTTCTCCAGTCACTATTTAAGTAGGTGTTAATAAAATAAGAAGGGTTCTCCATAAAGTACAATGTTTCTCTTCCTGTAATATCATGAATAAATTGCTAAGGCAAAATTTCACATTATAACAAGGAATGATACGAATAATATTATTTGAAGGTGTCTCAAAGAAAAAGGGCCAGGTTAGTGCTCTTCAATTACTGGGATTTTCATCTTCCTTCCAAGTCATTCACTTGTGAGCTCAGTCATCCTGGGCCTTAACAAACCTCTCTCAACTCTGAGTTGCCACGAGCTGATCAATTCTTTCATCCCTCTCACTGAAAGCATCTTTAATTTTCTCTGTTATTTCTAGCCTGATGACATTTCTTAATCTTTAATACATCTATTTCTTGAACTTTCAGTTCTCTTAGCTTCTACAACATTGTACTGGTCTCTCCCTCCTCTTTGTCCTCCATTTGCCTACTAAATAAAGCATCATTTCTTCTCTTTTCATCTCTCTCTTTCTAGAATTTCTTCCTTGACTGTTTTTATCCATATCATTATTTCAGCTTTGATCTCATGGCAGACAACTCCCAAACCTACAAAAATTAGTCCAACATATTCCCCCCTTTTCCTTTCATTTGTAGAATGCTTCACAAACCCATGCTCTCGTGAAACCTATATACTTTACAGGCTCAGCCTTGTTCCAGTTCATCTAGGCTTGACACATCCCAGTGGCCTTCGATGAGTCCTTTATTATTCCCCAACAAACAATGAATTTACAAATCTCAGCATTATCAACTCCACAGGATCTCTTGAATCTTTTTCCCTACACTTTATTTCCAAAGCCAACATTAGGCAGCAGAAATTCTATTCTCTTATTTTCCCTGGATTATTATACTAACATTTTGAACATTATCCTTAGAAAGACACTATTTCATCTTTTCTTGATCTCAATTCATTGTTCACATTATTTCCTGGTCGATTAAATAGAAACTCAGAATATTTTACTCACTCAGATGTTCAAAAACTTTCAATAACTCTCTAGGTCTGCAAAATTCTGTATTTTCAGATTTTATGCCTGCTAAGCCTAATTTAATAAAACTTGTGCTACTTTAGCACATGCTATGCTAGGCCTGTTAGAATGTGAAATGTAGTTAAAAGTATAGAAACAAAAAAATGTAGCTGATATCATGACACCAGTGACACCGTGTCAGACCAGCCTAAAATATTCAAGTTTTGGGAGGAATTATTTTGGCTTCAACAGCTTTATTAATGCGTAATTGACATAACAATAAACTGCACATATTTAAGTGTATAATTTAATAAAATGTGACATTTATTATGTATATGCCCATGAAAGAGTCATCCAATCAAGATAATAAAGTTATCCGTCACCTTCTAAAAGTACCTCTTGTGCCTTGGTGATGTCTCCCTGCTGCTCTTCCCCACCTATCTCTTATTCTTAGGCAACCATTGATTGCCTCTCTGTTACTATACCGTTTGTATACTAGTTTGCATTTTCTAGAATTTTATATAGATGTAATTACACAGTATACACTCTTTTTTTGCCTTTTTACATTCAGCATAATTATGCTGATATTCATTCACATAGTAGCATTAGTTCATTCTTTTGTTTATTATTGAATAGTATTCCATTGAATGGATATCCCTTAGTTTGTTTATCAATTCCCTTGTTGATAGAAATTTGTTTAATTTATAGCTTGGGGCTATTACACATAAAGCTTCTGTGAAAATTCATTTTTAAGTCTTTACATGAACATATGCTTTCACTTTTCCTAGGTAAATATCTAGGAGTGCAATAGCCGAATCCTGTGGCAGTAATGTTTAACTATTTAACAAACTGCCAAACTATTTTCCAAAGTGGTTGTAGCATTTTTCACACCAGTACTGTATAAGCATTCCATTTGCCCTACATTCTTGTTAACTCTTGGTACAGTCAATCTTTTTAGTTTTAGCCATTGTAATTGGTGTATGATGGTGTATTATGGTCTTAATTTGCATTTCCTTAATGACTAATGATGTTAAGTGTCTTTTCATGTGTCTATTTGTTATCCATATATCTTTTTTGGTGAAGTGTTTGAAAGTATTTCAAAAGGAAAATAAGGGCCGGGCACAGTGGCTCATGCCTGTAATCCCAGCACTTTGGGAGGCCGAGGTGGGCAGATCACGAGGTCAGGAGTTCAAGACCAGCCTGACCAACACGGTGAAACCCTGTCTCCACTAAAAATACAAAAATTAGCCAGGCATGGTGGCACGCACCTGTAATCCCAGATACTCAGGAGGCTGAGGCAGGAGAATCGTTTGAACCTGGGAGGTGGAGTTTGCAGTGAGCCAAGATGGTGCCACTGCACTCCAGCCTGGGTGATGGAGTGAGACTCAGTCTCCCAAAAAAAAAAAAAAAAAAAAAAAAAAGGAAAATAAATTGCAAAAGCTAAATCTGTTATATAAATTTTTAAAACATACAAAAATCTATTTTATCTTTGAATGAGAGGTGTTTTTTTTTTTTTTTCAAATTGCCTGTGTTTTCTCCCAAATAATTGTTGGAATAATAACTACAAATAAAGTCTCTGGGAGAATCTTTTGCAAGCACAAGGAAAGCATAGCTTTCTTCAACATTATCTACATCCAGAAAATACATTATATGAATCCAACCTAAATATTCTGCCTTATTACTCATGGTTCCTTTATAGTCTCTAAATCGGTGAGTTCTAAAACATGCTATGCGTTCTAATGTTAGGAGGTGAGATGGTTGTAGGGGTATACAGAGTTATTATATAAGGATAAATCTCACTGTAAGAATGGTATTCTATTTTGACTTCTCTTTAGATTCACTTAGGTCAAGAAAAAAGTCTCATCTTGGAAATTATATTTGTGTAACATCTCTGTAGTAATAGCTGATCACTTTTCTCAACAGAGAGCAGTCCTTAGTCTCAGGCTTTCAGCAGATGAGAGTACCAAGCTAGAATTTTTTCATTGTACTTACTTTTTCAGTAAGTGACATAGATTTTCAATCAGTCATCCAGTGACAGCAATATAAAATGTCATTACACCATGTATTTTAGTTAAAGGAAGTGAGTTTATTGATAGAAAACACATTACATAAGTAATATTCAATTGATATTCAGATTCATCAAAAGTTATTACCATAATACACAAATGACTCAATTTGGGGAAAAATTATTTAATATTTAGCTCAATTACTTTCAAACGACGATACTCACTCCATGGAAAACTAGGGTTTACAAGGAGGTGCCTCCACTATTGGGTTGAGGAGATGGCAATGAGCAGGCAAGGAGAGAGTGAGCAAAGAAGTTTAAGGAAACCAGCCCTGGAATCAACTAGAGCAACTCATATTACTTATTTATAGAAAACAGGAAACTTCAAAAAAATACAAAGAGGGCAATAATCATGCATATTCACATCTGTGATTATTTCCTTTTACTGTATAGTCTTTCAATCTTTTTCTAAGCTCATACACATTTTTTAAATTACATTGTCATAATGTTACATACTTAAACTAGTACTATAAAATGCTAATTTTCTGTCATTAAATGCTCTTTAAAAATTAATTTGTGGACTGTAGAATATTTATTTAAACTGTAAACCTTAGCTTCATTTCTATATAAAATGAAAATTGGACTAGACGACATCTAGAATTGTCTTCCTGGTCTAATAGCCCTTCGCTCTGCTAAGTGAATAGTGAAACACTCCTGAATTACTTAAATAATTAAATCCCTGTCCTATTCACCCTGAAAGGCAGTTCATGGAACTGCCTATGTGAGAAGTAGCTCCACTGCACAGCAACTACAACAATTTGGAACATCAGTGTATATATCTACAACTTGAGTCCATATTTGAAAGCACTGTCTTTTATGACCACAGTGTCATATTATGTATGAAATGCTTCTAATTAGTCACCACCCTCTCACTTTACCTCAGCTCAGCCTGCTCTGGAGGGTGACTGACTGCCTGTCTATTTAAGGCACCTCCCAGGGCTCCACATGAGCATAAGTCATCTCACTCATGTTTTAAGTTAGGCAATCCAAAACTTAACCTTTGTGCTTGCTAAGAATTTATCATGCAACTTTTTTTGTTGTTATGTACTAGCAGATAAAGAGACAAAATTTCACCTTATTTATATAGATTTCAAGAAAAGTTAAAGATAACTATAAGCTGCTCTTTGTTGAAGGCTGAATGTGACTATATCCTGTTCCACTTTTCTGTAGCTCGTGCTGGGGGAGGTGTCTCCATTTGTCTTTATATCTGTAGTCTTTAGGACTTCAGGGAAGGGTAATTTATTCATTTTATTTCATAAATATTTTCTAAGTACACACATATGCTAGCCATTCTGGTAGGTCCTTAAGACATAGAGATAAATAGAATATTCCCTTTTCTTAAGTCTTAGTCTAGTAAGGGAGAGAGGAAGAGAGAGAAACAGTAGCTACAGCTATATGTGCCTTGATGAAAGAATGTCCAAAGTGGTTAGTTAAAAGAAACACACACTCACACACACACTTCAGAAATGAGACTGTCTTTGAGGAAAGTGCCAAAGGATACTTTACTGGGTTGAATAGAGTCCTTGCAAAATTCATGTCCTTCCTGCAACCACAGAATGTACTCTAATTTGGAAACAGGATTGTCACAGATGGAATTAGCTAAGAAAAGGTCATACTGGAGTAGGATGACCCTTATGCAGTATGACTGGTGTCCTTCTAAGATGAAGAGAAGACACACAGAAACAGAGACACTAATTTAGTCGGGGATAATATGGCCATGTGATAACAGAAGCAAAGATTGAGTGATGCACCTACAAGCCAAAGGACACCAAAGGTTGTTGACAAACACCAGAAGCTAGAAGAGTCAAGGAAGGATTCTCCCCTAGAAAATCTTAGAGCACAGCTCTGCCAGCACATTGATTTCAGACTTCTAATCTCCGGACTGGTGAGGCAATATATTTTTCTTGTTCTAAGCACCAGTTGCACTTTGTTGCAGTATCCCTGGAAAATTAAGAACATATCTAGGAGCTCATTAAGTAGATTGAGGGGAAAGATTTTCCAAGTGAAGGTAACAGTATGTTCAAAGGCATGCAGGAGTGAAAGAGTATTCAGAAGAGTCTCATCAACATAATTGAGTTACCTAAATACAATGTGATATGTGCAGTTTAATAAATAACATACACACAAACAGTGTGTGATAGTCCTCATTATTTCACACATTTCGTATATGCCTCAGAATCAACAAGAGAAATGAAACAAACCTTTTTTCCTTAGCCTCACTTAATGAATCTCCCAATCTCTGACTTTGCGGCTGCATGGCCGTCTTCTCTTGTGCCTTCATTATTGAATATTTTGCAAATCAGAGGGTTAGAACAGTGCTTACATATATACATATATTTGTTATATTATATATGTATAATTTTTTTTTGAGACAGAGTCTCACTCTGTTGCCCAGGCTGAAGTACAGTGGCAGGATCTCGGCTCACTGCAACCTCCACCTCCCAGGTTCAAGCGATTCTCCTGTCTCAGCCTCCCGACTACCTGGGATTACAGGTGCCTGCCCCATGCCCGGCTAATTTTTGCATTTTTAGTAGAGACAGAGTTTGCCATGTTGGCCAGGCTGGTCTCTAACTCCTGACCTCAGGTGATCCACTCACCTCGGCCTCCCAAAGTGCTGAGATTACAGGCATGAGCCACCATGCTGGGCCTTCTCTTTCACTTCTTATGAGGATTAGTCCTATCAGATTAAACTACCACCCATACCACCACATTTAACCTTGATTACCTCTGTAAAGCCCCCATCTCCCAAATACAGTCACATTGAGAGTTAGGGCTTCAACATATGAATTTGAGGGCAAAACAGTTCAGTTCATAACAGCTTGCTTTTTCCCATTACCAAGAGACCATATAAACCCTTTCTTCCCCTATATGCAGGCATCTTTTTGGGAAAAGGTGCAGAGGAGGAAAAGGCTCATTTGGGGGAAGAAAGCAATGGTATATATAATATAATATAATATAATATAATATAATATAATATAATATAATATATAATATGTTATATAATCAAATATAATATATAATCAAATATAATATATTATATATTATATAATCAAATATAATATATTTATTATATATATTAATAAAATATATTATATTTATTAAATAAATATATTATTTAAATATATATTTTTAATATATATATTTAAATATATATATTTAAATATATATATATAAAATAATAAAAATATATTTATTAAATAAATATATTAAATAAAAATATATAATATTTTTATTATGAATAAAATATAAAATATAAAATATATATGAAATATATATTTATATATAAATATATATAAATATAATATACATTATATAATTATATATTTATATATATTATAAATGATATATTATATCTTTATATAATATGTATATATTATAATATATAAATAATATACATTATATGTATATTATTATATAATATATAATAATATACATATGTATATTATTATATAATATATAAATAATATATATTACAAAGTATATAATATATATAATTATACAACATAAATATATAACATAATTATATAACATAAATATATAACATATATTTATATAATTAATAAGGTCATTAATTACATATTTAGTTTTGACGTAGTTCTTTCCTTTCTTTTTTTTTTTTTTTTTGAGATGGAGTCTCAGTCTGTCCCAAGCTGGAGTGCAGTGGCACTATCTCGGCTCACTGCAACCTCCACCTCCCGGGTTCAGTGATTCTCCTGCCTCAGCCTTCCGAGTAGCTGGGATTACAGGCATGTGCCACCATGCCCAGCTAATTTTTGTATTTTTAGTAGAGACAGGGTTTCACCATGTTGGCCAGGGTGGTCTCGAACTCCTGACCTTGTGATCCGTGGGCCTCGGATAACAGGTGTGAGCCACTGCGCCCAGTCAATTCTTTCCTTTTTAAAGTTTCCATTTGTGTGTCAATATTTTCAAGCTTGTCTTTTATGTCTCAGAACATAATAAACATAATTATTTTAAAATATATTTCTAATAATATCATTACTTCTGGATACTTGCCTGGTTCTATTGCCTATTGTTTCCCCAAAGTTTTGTTTCTGTTCTTTTTTATTCTCATGTGCCTTGTTATTTTTGACTGAATGTTGGAAATTGTATGTAAAATATTGTGAAATAATTCTAAGTTTAGTTTGATATTATATTTCTTCACAGAGCATTACATTTGCCTCTTGTTGGTAATGAAGGAAGAACAATCTTGAACTCATAGAACTAAAAATAAGGCTGGTAGCTGAATTTCCAACAGGAAGAATGAATGTCCAAAGACAATAAAAAGATAGCCTTTAAAGCTTTGAAAAAATATGTTTTTGAAGGATAAAGATAAACTAAATAGCATTTGTTAGCAACAGATCCAAACCAAGAGAAATATTAAGGGGTATTCTTGCAGATAGAAAAGAATGCAGGTGAAATTTCAGAAAGAACAATGCAAAGGTAAGTAGATAGATACATATAAATTAATATTAAATATGTAAAACAATAGAATTACAATGGCAAGGATGAGGCAAGTATACTATTTAGCACCCTTCCTATTCAACTTTGAATAAGAAATCCTAGCTAGGGTGATAAGCACAATACATAGAAATAAAAATGTTAAAGGGTTTGGAAAGGAGAAAATAAAACTGCTGTTATTTGCAAATAATATGATATGTACCTAGAAAATGTAAAAGAACATACAGAGTAGACAACTGGCCTGGCACGGTGGCTCACGCCTGTAATCCCAGCACTTTGGGAGGCTGAGGCGGACAGATCACTTGAGGCCAGGAGTTCGAAACCAGCCTGGCCAACACGGCAAAACCCTGTGTCTACCGAAAATACAAGAATTAACTGAGAGTGTGGCAGGTGCCTGTAATCCCAGCTACTCAGGAGGCTGAGGCACAAGAATGGCCTGAATCCATGAGGCAGAGTTTGCAGTGAGCCAAGACTGTGCCACTGCACTCCAGCCTCGGCAACAGAGCAAGACTCTGTCTCAAAAAAAAAAAAAAAAAACCTACAGATAAATTGTTAGAATTAATAAGTAAATCTAGTAAGGTTGAGTTATACAAAGTCACCAAAAAATTAATTTTATTTCTATACATCAATAACAAATACAGGTTTGTAATGTGGTTGTTAAAAGTTTTAGCTTTCCCCTCTGTCACTTCCTGTCCCAGAATAAAGCTGAATGAATAATGCTTGATACCTTTTTTTTTTTTTTTTTTTTGAGATGGAGCCTCGCTCTGTCGCCCAGGTTGGAGTGCAGTGGCGCCATCTCGGCTCACTGCAAGCTCCGCCTCCCTGGTTCACGCCATTCTCCTGCCTCAGCCTCCCAAGTAGCTGGGACTACAGGCTCCTGCCACCACGCCCAGCTAATTTTTTGTATTTTTAGTAGAGACGGGTTTCACCATGTTAGCCAGGATGGTCTCTATCTCCAGACCTCGTGATCTGCCCACCTCGGCCTCCCAAAGTGCTGGGATTACAGGCGTGAGCCACCGCGCCCGCCCGGCGATACTTTTAATTTATACAGCTGCTTTTAACTTGATACAATTTTTAAAAGTGTTACATGCAAATGATCATTTGATAATGTATACACTTCAAAGTTCTGAAAGATTTAGAATTTGTCTTTAGCCCTCTAACTGATGTTTGCATCCACCCAAAATTAGTACAGTGAAACCAAAACTCCAAAGGGATATTGTTAGGAGGTGGGGTCTTACGAAGGTAATTAAGTGAGGTTATGAGGGTGGAACCTCCATGATGGGATTGTGTCCTTATAAGAAGAGAAAGAGAATAGAGCAAAAGTGCTCTCTCTCTCTCACTCTCTCTCTCTCTCTCTCTCTCTCTCTCTGCCTCTCTGCAGGTACTCACCAAGGAAATCCAGGTGAGAACATAAACAGGAAAAAAGGGCCCTCACTAAGAACCTGACCATGCTGGCACTGTGATTACAGACTTCCACCCTCCAGAACTGTGAGAAACACGTTTGTTAAGCCACAAAATATTTATTGCGGCAATTCTTTGAGGTGAGAAATGGTATTCTGTTATTGCAGCCTAAAGTGAGACACCCTCCCTGAATCTTGTCCTTACATCTCCCCACTCTCACCATTTTGCTCCTTCTTGGTATCATCAGGGTCTCAGAACTTCTGCTCCATCACAACAGTAAGCACCTACTTACAGGGAAGACTGTGAGGACTCTAGGATCGTGAAGTGTTAGATATGGAAGAAAATTTAAATTATCTTGTTCAAACTGCTTCATTTTACAAATGAGTAAACTAAGGACCAGAAAAACCAATATATTTACCCTTAATTACCTGTCCTAAGGTAGAAATGCCTTTTGAAAGTTAGTAAACCATCTTAACCATAAGCATTTCATTTAACACAGTATGAAAACTTCCAGCCAGCAAGAAGGATCTTTAATAATGGGGTTTCAGCTTTCAGCAAGCCCAAAGGGAGGACATTTGCAGATCAAAGTGGCTGTCTCACAGCTGTGAAATCATAATTTTGCTGCAACCTCTCAGCATGTTATTCTTGTTCCCAGTCTCCCAAAGGGCAGGTATGAAGATCTATTCCTAAAGTCAGTAATCTATGACTTAGTAGGCCAAAGTAATTTTAAGTGGCAAGTAAAGTATTTGTGGTCACCCTCTACCCTTATTGTTACTGTTCAAAAGAGTAATCAACTGATTAACAACTCCTACTTGGAGACTCTGGGTTTAGTTGCCTGCCCAACAAAATCTACTCAGCAACCCTTGTACCGAATTCTCATATTGTTTAATTTTTTTCATTTTATTTGTGTGTTTATTATGTTATGAGTAATGATAATTTCTGTTACACATATGTGTATGTATATCTTTTCTGATTGATTAGACTATATAAAATTCAGATGGCAATTTAAGAATTATATAGTTCTTATACTATTAATCTATTTTTAATTTTCTTGAGTAAACCCTACTTTCATCATGATGTAGATGTGTTTTCTTTTTTTCATTTAATATACTTTTGAAATAAACTTTCTAGTAAATTATCTCAGATGGTGGCATCATCATTCATAAATGAAATAGGCCGATAGTTTCTATTTTCTATGGGAAACATAAAATATAGTGGTTAATAGCTTGTCTCCTCGATGCAAGTTACCTAGGTTCCATCTCTGTCCCACCGTTTACTAATTGTGGAATCCTGGAGAAGTTATTTAACTTCCCTAAGTTTTCTTATCTGTAAGATGAGAGAAATGCTCAGTCTCGTAAGTATTTGTGGAATAAATAGATTGAAATTTCTAGAACACTTACAATGTTCTTGGTATACAGAAAGCTCTTTATAAATATCAGCTTTTTTGATGTCATTCTGGGCAGGTTTTGATATCAATATGCTAACCTTATAAAGTGCACTTAAAAGTGATCCTTCCTTTTTTTTTTTTTTTTTTTTTTTGAGACAGAATTTTGCTCTGTAGCCCAAGTTGGAGTGCAGTGGTGTGATCTCGGCTCACTGACTGCAACCTCTGCCCGCCGGGTTCAAGCGATTCTCCAGCCTCAGCCCCTTGAATAGCTGGGATTACAGGCGTACACCAGCATGCCTGGGTAATTTTTTGTATTTTTAGTAAAGACAGAGTTTTGCCATGTTGGCCAGGCTGGTCTCAAACTCCTGACCTCTCTCACCTTGGCCTCCCACAGTGCTGGGATTACAGGCATGAGCCACCACACCTGGCCAATCCTTCTTTTTCCATAATCCGGAAATAGTTAAGAGGAAGAAGAATTTTTTATTCCTTGAGAATTTAAAATAACTCAGTTATGAAATCATTTGGAACCTGTGCCTTGTGTGAGAGAATACTTTGACAAGTTCACAGATTCTTCTTCTTCATGAAGCAGTTTTGGAAATGGGTGTTTTACTAGGAAATTACATTTACTATTGGTAAAATATTCGGATTTTTCAAATATATCAATGTGGAGCTTTAGTTTTCAATCCTTTCCTGGTGAGGCTTAAAATCTATTTCTTTGTTCATTTGAGAGTCAGTTTATGGTTTTCTCAACTTATTTACTTATTTATTATACATTCAATTCCAATGTTGCCTTTTTTAATATTTTTTCCTTAGGCTTTTCTTTTCCTAATTATTAAGTTAAATGCTTATTTGTTCTTTGGCACAATGCTAGCAAATTGTTTTAAAAAGTATAAGGGAATGGTAAAGAGACATTTTCTGTTTTTCTCTTTTTTCTAACATTAACGTGCTATGTTTATATTTTATTTGTTAAGATTACATTCTCATTCATCCATTAATTTATTCAATTACAAATATTTATTTAGAACTGGACTTTGTCCAGAGTCTTAGTGGTAGGGGTAGGGGAGTGAAGAGTAAATAGGACACTGTCATTGCCTTCAAGGAGAAAATACGCAGTGCTTAATTGTCTTTTGAGAAGAGGGAGATGTTCATCCTACTTCTGGACCTGAACTGATCGAATTCTACTATTTAACACCTTGGGTCAAATATTGCGTGAGTCTTCATTAAAATTTTTGACTTGCTGTATGAATTTATTATTTTTATCATTATTTACAGGGGTTAATACAAGGTTTATTTTTGTCTTGTTTTTGTTTGTTTGTTTGTTTTTGTGTAGACTCTCTACTGGTGTACCTTCGAATATATAGTAGCTTTTAGAGAAACTTGTCCTGTGCTTTCTGGGAAAAGATAGTGGAAAAAAGTTGTATGATAGACCTTTCTCTTCCAAAATAAATAAATAATAAGTTTAAAACAACAACTATAAGATGTACAAAAGAATAATTTAGTATGGCAGCAAGAATCAAATACATAGATATATAAGCAAGACAGGGAAAGAGAGGCAAAATATGACAGGCATAGTGAAGATTTCCTCCTCCATTCATCCTGTAAGCAGTATGGGGAGAGGAGATGAATTAGATCCTAAAAAATGTCGCTGATCTCCATTCCCTTTACTTCTCTCTTCCCTGCCCTCTCAAAGTCACCACAATTTAGAAAAAAAAAAAAAAAATGAATGCCAGAAGTGTCTGGTCAGCTTGGGGAAAACACACCAAACACTCTGAGAGTATAAAATGTAACTCACTCCCTACCAATGCACCAGAGGCTGGCAAGTCTACCAGAGCTCACTACAGTGGGACAAGCTGAGTAAAGAAGTCTGAAAAATGATGACAATCATCTAAACCAATTGATCTTTAAAACTGTTTAGAGATCTAGTATAAAGGATGCTATTTCTCCACATCCTCTCCAGCACCTGTTGTTTCCTGACTTTTTAATGATTGCCATTCTAACTGGTGTGAGATGGTATCTCATTGTGGTTTTGATTTGCATTTCTCTGATGGCCAGTGATGATGAGCATTTTTTCATGTGTTTTTTGGCTGCATAAATGTCTTCTTTTGAGAAGTGTCTGTTCATGTTCTTTGCCCACTTTTTGATGGGGCTGTTTGTTTTTTTCTTGTAAATTTGTTTGAGTTCATTGTAGATTCTGGATATTAGCCCTTTGTCAGATGAGTAGGTTGCGAAAATTTTCTCCCATTTTGTAGGTTGCTTGTTCACTCTGATGGTAGTTTCTTTTGCTGTGCAGAAGCTCTTTAGTTTAATTAGAGTCCATTTGTCAGTTTTGGCTTTTATTGCCATTGCTTTTGGTGTGTTAGACATGAAGTCCTTGCCCATGCCTATGTCCTGAATGGTAATGCCTAGGTTTTCTTCTAGGGTTTTTATGGTTTTAGGTCTAACGTTTAAGTCTTTAATCCAACTTGAATTAATTTTTGTATAAGGTGTAAGGAAGGGATCCAGTTTCAGCTTTCTACATATGGCTAGCCAGTTTTCCCAACACCATTTATTAAATAGGGACTCCTTTCCCCATTGCTTGTTTTTCTCAGGTTTGTCAAAGATCAGACTTTTACACTGTTGGTGGGACTGTAAACTAGTTCAACCATTGTGGAAGACAGTGTGGCGATTCCTCAGGGATCTAGAACTAGAAATACCATTTGACCCAGCCATCCCATTACTGGGTATATCCCCAAAGGACTATAAATCATGCTGCTATAAAGACACACGCACACGTATGTTTATTGCGGCACTATTCACAATAGCAAAGACTTGGAACCAACCCAAATGTCCAACAATGATAGACTGGATTAAGAAAATGTGGCACATATACACCACGGAATACTATGCAGCCATAAAAAATGATGAGTTCATGTCCTTTGTAGGGACATGGATGAAATTGGAAATCATCATCTCAGTAAACTATCGCAAGAACAAAAAACCAAACACTGCATATTCTCACTCATAGGTGGGAACTGAACAGTGAGAACACATGGACACAGGAAGGGGAACATCACACTCTGGGGACTGTTGTGCGGTGTGGGGAGGGGGGAGGGATAGCTTTAGGAGATATACCTAATGCTAAATGACGAGTTAATGGGTGCAGCACACCAGCATGGCACATGTATACATATGTAACTAACCTGCACATTGTGCATATGTACCCTAAAACTTAAAGTATAATAATAATAAAATTTAAAAAAAGGATGCTAGAAGAGGAAATAAAACAACATTATCTGAGGGAAGAGGCATTTGGAGTGCTGCAGGTAGAATTCAATTTCCCTTTCTATGAACCAACAATTTGTAGTTAAAAAACAGAGAAGAAAAATTGGGTGGGATGGGGTGGATAGTGGCAGTTGGTGAGTGATGGTAAGTGAATTGAGGAGCTACATCCTAAGAGCAGTTAAAGTAAAAACAAACAAACAAACAATGGCCTAACCTGAAGGAGTAAATTAAAGGCACTGAACTTAAAATAATACAAAAACCCTATAATTCAACCCTATAATGTTGAGTCATAGCATACAATTAGAAAAATGAATAAGTCGTAAGTATACATCTCAATTAATATTCACAAAGTTTAAACGCCTGCATAACTGGCAATCACTTCAGGTAACAGAACACGGCTAGTGCCTCAGGGACCTCTTTGGGCTCCTTTCTAGTCATTATCCATCTCTCCCGAGAATAAACATTATCCTAACTTTTAATTTCACAGATTAGTTCTGCCTGGTTTTGAAATTTATGTAAATGGTGGAATTATATAAAAGTTTTTTTTTTTTTTGAGACGGTGTCTTGCTCTGTCCTCCAGGCTGGAGTGCAACGACATGATCTGGACTCACTGCAATCTCTACCTCCCTGGTTCAAGCCATTCTCCTGCCTCAGCCTCCTGAGTAGCTGAGATTACAGGCACACGCCACTATGCCTGGCTAATTTTTATATTTTTGCAGAGACGGGGTTTCACCATGTTGACCAGGCTGGTCTTGAACTCCTAACCTCAAGTGATCCGTCTGCCTTGGCCTCCCAAAGTGCTGGGATTAGAGGCATGAGCCACCATGCCTGGTCAATACAATAGATTTTTTAAATCTCTTTTTTGCTCAATATTATGTTTGTGAGATTTAGCATATTGTTGTGTGTAGTTTTAGTTTGTCCACTCTTACTACTGTATGTATTCCATTGTGTGAGCATATAATCGTTTTTTTTCCATTTTACAGTTGAGTTCTTTGATCAGCTTTCAGTTTGGAAATGCTATGAACATATTTTACATGTCTTTTTGTGAACACATAAATACCCCTCTGTTGAGTATTCATCTAGAAGTTTAATTGCTGGTTCATAGAGCAAACACATGATATATTACCATACATATAGATAGATGCTCCAAACAATTTTTCAAGGTGGTTAACTAATTTATGCCAGCAATCAATGACATTTAGGATTGTTCTAGATCCTTGGAAACTCAGTGTTTTTTAGTCATATGTTAATTGGCCATTTGGATATGCTCTTGTGAGGTCTCACTGAAGTCTTTAGCCTTTTGTTTTGTTTTGTTTGCTTGTTTTGGTTTTTGAGACAGAGTTTCACTCTTGTTGCCCAGGCAAGAGTGCAATGGTGTGATCTTGGCTCACTGCAACCTCCGCCTCCTGGGTTCAAGCAATTCTCCAGCCTCAGCCTTCTGAGTAGCTAGGACTACAGGGGTGAGCCACTATGCCCAACTAATTTCTGTATTTTTTGTAGATACAGGATTTCGCCATGACCTCCTGACCTCGAACTCCTGACCTTGGTGATCCTCAGGCCTTGGCCTCCCAAAGTGCTGGGATTGCAGGAGTGAGCCACTGCACCCAGTCTAGCCATTTTTCTTATACAGTGAGTTTTTAACAAAATTATATGGGAGAGTGCACAGGCAAAGTAATCTATCCGTGATTGTCCATAGCCTGACTTCACTCTTCCTCTTCATGCTAAATCAGAAATATAAAAATACTCATATTGAAGGTGTGAAGAATAAAAAATTCCTCTCAGTAACATGAGAGGAAGAATGTTCCAAAATTATCTAGGAGCAAACAGAAGGTCTTAATAGAACAAATGAAAAATAATTAAAGGAAAAAGGAATGGCATAAAGCCTACATAAAAAGCACTAAAATAAAAACGATTAAAGAAGGAAACATAGTCCCAAAAAATCCAATAGTTGAAATCCATCATATAGGAAAATAATACGAAAGAAATAAAAGTTAATTCTACACTGTACTAGTGTACTAGGGCTGCTGAAATAAATTACCACAAACTGGGTAACACAACAACATAAATTTATTCTCTCACAGTTCTGGAGAACAGCTTCTGGTGATTGCTGGCAATTCTTAGCAATCCTCTCCATCTGTGGACCACTGGGACACGCATAGGATAAACATTTTCATTTCCATAGGGAGAAATTGGAAGTTATAAAAGGGTTACTGGTTTGAAGCAAGTGCAAAAATTGGCAGGACAAACTGCATTCAGCTCAAGGTCTGAAAATAATCCTCTGAGGCTTGATCCTCTGTTTTCTGGGCCCATGGTAGTCATCCTGCTGTCTCTGGCCTTTATATTTGTATCTGTGGTTCTGCCCTCAGAGTAATTCTTCCTTTCTCTTAAAGATGAACAAATATTTGTGACTGAATAGCTCTATCAGCCCATTTCTTGCTAGAATCCCAGAAATCTGGTGGCCTTCCTTCATTTTGTCTTCTCTCTGCCCCTTTCAGTCCAGGCTGGTAGTGTGATAAGGTTTGGCTGCACTCCCACCCAAAGCTCATCTTGAATTGTAATTCCCATAATCCCCACAAGTCATGGGAGGGACTCTATGGGAGGTAATTGAATAACTGGGACAGTTATCTTCATGCTGTTCTCCTCATAGTGAATAAGTACTCAAGAGATCTGATGGTTTTATAAGGGGCTTCTCCTTCACTCTGTACTAACTTATCTCACCTGCCACCATGGAAGACGTGCCTGTTTCATCTTCTGCCATGATTGTAAGTTTCCTGAGGCCTCCCTAGACATGTGGAACTGTGTCAATTAAACCTCTTTTCTTTACAAATTACCCAGTCTTGAGTATGTCTTTAAAGCGGCATGAAAACAGACTAAAACAGTAAATTGGTACCACAGAGAATGGGTGCTGCTGTGAAGATACCCAAAAATTCAGAAGTGACTTTGGAACTGTGTAATGGGCAGAGACTGGAACCGTTTGGTGGGCTCGGAAGAAGACAGGAAAATGTGGGAAAGTTTGGAACTTCCCAGTGACTTGTTGAATGGCTTTAACCAAAATGCTGATAGTAATATCAACAGCAAAATCTAGGCCAAGGTGGTCTCAAATGGCAATGAGGAACTTGTTGGGAACTGGAGTAAAGATCACTCTTGCTGTGCAAAGAGACTAGTGGCATTTTGCTCCTGCCCTAGAGATCTGTGGAACTTTGAACTTGAGAGAGATGATTTAGAGTATCTGGCAGAAGAAATTTCTAAGCACCGAAGCATTCAACAGAAGGCAGAGCATAAAAGTTTGGAAAATTTGCAGCCTGATGATACAATAGAAAAGGAAAACCCATTTTCTGGGGGAGAAATTTAAGCCTGCTGCAGTAATTTGCATAAGTAATGAGGAGCTGAATGTTAATCACCAAGACAATGGGGAAAATGTCTCCACGACATGCCAAAGGCCTTCATGACAGCCCCTTCTATCACAGGCCCAGAGGCCTAGGAGGAAAAAATGGTTTTGTGGGCTGGACCCAGGGCCCCCCTGCCCTGTGCAGCCTCAATACGTGGTGCCCCACATCCCAGCTACTTCAGCTCCAGCTGTGGCTAAAAGGGGCCAAGATACAGCTCAGGTCATTGCTTCAGAGGGTGTAAGCCCCAAGCCTTGGCAGCTTCCACCTGGTGTTTGTCCTGCAGGTGCACAAAAGACAAGGATTGAGCTTTGAGAACCTCTGCCTAGATTTCAGAGGATGGACAGAAATGCCAGGATATCCAGGCAGAGGTGTGCACATGGAGAACCTCTTCTAGGGCAGTGCAGAAGGGAAATGTGGGGTTGGAGCTCCCACAGAAAGTCCCCACAGAGACACTGCTCAGTAGAGCTGTGAGAAGAGGGCCACCGTCTTCCAGATCCCAGAATGGGAGATACACTGACAGCTTACATTCTGCACCTGGAAAAGCCACAGGCACTCAATGCCAGCTTGTGAAAACAGCCAGGATGCGGGACTGTACCCTGGAAAGCCACAGGTGAAACTGACCAGGGCTGTGGAAGCCCACCTCTTACATCAGCATGACCTGGATATGAGATGTGGAGTCAAAGGAGATTATTTTGGAGCATTAAGTTTTAATAACGGCCCTATTGATTTCAGATTTGTATGGGGCGTATAACCCCTTTGTTTTGGCCAATTTATCTTATTTGGAACAGGTGTATTTATCCAATGCCTGAACCATCATTGTATCTAGGAAGTAACTAATTTGCTCTTAATTTTACTGGCTCATAGGCGGAAGGGACTTGCCTTGTCTCAGATAAGACTTCAGACTAGGACTTTTGAGTTAATGCTGGAATGAGTTAAGACTTTGGGAGGCTGTTGGGAAGGCATGATTGTGTTTTGAAATGTGAGGACATGAGATTTGGTCAGAGACGGAATGATATGGTTAGGCTTTGTATCCCCACCAAAATCTCATCTTGAATTGTAGTTCCCATAATACCCATGTGTCATGGGAGGGACCCTATGGGAGGTAATTAAATCATGGGGGCAGTTACCCTCACACTGTTCTCATGATAGTGAGTCAGTTCTAATGAGATCTGATGGTTTTATAAGGAGCGTCCCCTTTGCTTGGCACTCACTTCTCTCACCTGCCTCTCACCTGTAAGATGTGCCTGTTTTGCTTTCCACTATGATTGTAAGTTTCTTGAGGCCTCCTTTGCCACGCAGAATTGTGAGTCAATTAAACCTCTTTCCTTTATAAATTACCCAGTTTCAGGTATGTCTTTACAGCAGTGTGAAAATAAACTATCACATAGTGTTTCTGCTAGTGTAGCATTCTGAAAAGCCTTGTTGGTTTCCCATGGAATTCACAGCAGTCCATGCTATTGGACAAGAGTCCTCTACAGACATTTTCTTGAATAATGTCATCTAAATTTTTGGCTTCTGCTGAGAAGGTTGATCTGATTATTGAGTTACACATGTAATCTTTTCAGCAAAATATTGTTCAGGATGTTTGTTCTTACTTCTAGAGCATACTACCTGATAGGCTGAGAATTTTCCAAATCATCAAACTCTGGTTTCTTTTGCTTAACAGTTTCTTCCTCAATTTATGTCTTTTCTGCCACATTTTTCTACGAGCGGCAAAGATAAATAAGGCTGAACCTCCCACACTTTGCTTAGAAATATCCTCAGCTCAAACATCCAAGTTAATCACTTATGTGTTTTGCTTTCTGCCCAACTATAGAACACAATTCACTCAAGATTTCTGTCACCTCATAGGAACCGGCAAAAATTTCATGATGAAGACCCCAAAAGCAGTTGCAACACAAGCAAATGTTGACAAGTGGGATTGAATTAAACTAAAGAGCTTCTGCACAGCAAAATAAACTATTAACAGAGTAAACAGACAACTAGAGAATAGGGTAAAATATTTACAAACTATACATCTGACAGTGTTCTAATATCCAGAGTCTATAAGGAACTTAAACAAATTTACAAGCAAAAACCAAACAACCCCATTAAAAAGTGGGCAAAGACATCAACAAACATTTTTTCAAAAGAAAACATACATGCAACCAAGAAGCATATGAAAAAATGCCCAACATCACTAATCATTAGAGAAATGTAAATCAAAACCGTGATGACATACTATCTCACGTGAGTCAGAATGGTTATTATTAAAAAGTCAAAAAATAACATACTGGCAAGGTTGCAGGGAAAAGGGAATACTTACACACTGCTGGTGGGAGTGTTAATCAATTCAGTCATCATGGAAAGCAATGTGGCAATTCCTTAAAGAACTAAACAGAATTACCATTCAATCCAGCAATCCCATTATTGGGTATATAACCAAAGGAATATAGATTATTCTATCATAAAGACACATGCATGCATATGTTCATCACAAAACTATTTATAATAGCAAAGACACAGAATCAACCTAAATGCCCATTAATGGTAGACTCAATAAAGAAAATGTGGTATATATACAACATGGAATACTACGCAGCCATAAAAAAGAATGAAATCGTGTCCTTTGCAGCAACATGAATAGAGCTAGAGGCCATTATCCTAAGCAAACTAATGCAGGAAGAGAAAACCAAATATGACATGTTCTCACTTACAACTGGGAGCTAAAGAACCAGAACACATGGACACAAAGAGGAGAATGCTAGATACTGGGGTCTACTTGGAAGTGAAGGTTCGGAGGAGGAACGAGATCAGAAAAAATACCTTTTGGGTACCGTGCTTAGTACCTGGGTGATGAAATAATCTGTACACCAAACCCTTGTGACATGAGTGTATGTATATAACAAACTTGCAAGTGTACCCCTGAACCTTAAACAAAAGTTAAAAGAAAATAACAAAATAAGGTAAAAACAATTTCTGTCACCTTATAATGAGAATTTTCTTTCTTCCATTTTTTGATGACATACCTCTCATTTCCTTCTGAGATCACACCAGAAACATCCTTTTACTTATATTTCTACCAACATTCTGTTCTCTCTCTATATATAGATAGATAGATAGATAGATAGATAGATAGATAGATAGATAGATATACTAAGATGATAGAAGATCTCTCTACCATGTTCCTTAATTCTATCTGAGCCCTCAGCAGAATTGCCTTTAACATTCATATTTCCACCAAGCATCTCTTCAAGGCAATCTAAACTTTTTTTTCTATAAAGTGGCTTAAAAATTCTTCCAGCCTCTACTCATTTCCCAATTCCAAAGCTACTTCCTCTCTTCTGTACCTCTCTCCTAGCCTCTGGTGGTTTCTGGCAATCCTTGGCATTCTTTGGCTCGTGGATGTATCACTCCAGTCTGTACATTGATCTTTACATGGCTTTGTTCTCTAGGTATTTCTGTTTGACCTTTTCCGTTTCTTATAAGGGTACTCTCTTGGGACATGGGGTGCATCCTAATCCGGCATAATCTTATCTCAATTATTATCTTAAATACATCTGGAAAGACTATTTCTAAATAAGGTAATATTCTGAGTTTCCAGACGTAAATTTTGGGGTAACACTATTCAATTCACTATACATACATGAGAGATCTGAACACAGAAGAATTAAGAAGAACATACATTCAGTAAAATTGAAATAAAAAATAAAATAATGAAGCAATAGAAAGAAATAAAATGGGAGATTTCAGGGCTAAGGCACCAAACTGGGGGTGCTTAACACAGAACTAATGAATAAGTTAAACATGTTAAAAACAGAGTTTTTGAAATGGAGGGAAGGTTTGAGATAATAACAGTGATTTGATATGAAAGGGACAGAGATTAAAACAATTAGAGGCAATGTAAAAGATATGGAAAGCAAACAATAATTCTATATGAAGACCTTCAGTATGCATGGATAAGATAAACCAAGCACTAGAATAGAGAAAAATATTCAAAGACAAAATAATGAGTATTTTTACATGAAAAGGAAGAACTGAAACCACAGATCAAGAGGCCTACCATGTACTAAGAAAAACTGATGAAGAATGTTCATCATCAAGAATAATCTACTCTAAACTTCAAGGACAAAGAATTTTATGAGGATCCAGGTGTAAAAAAACGGTATGCAGGTAGTTTCAGACTCCCTCTAATTTTACAGTGACACAAAGTCTCTAGAGCTCTGATGAAATGAATTAATAAAAAAAATTCAAGATTTGTTGTCATTTAAGTACAAAAGGTATCATTAAACAAATGCCAAAATCTCAGAAAATAATCCTACTACAACCCATTTCTCCCAATACTAAACTCTGAACAACAAACAAAAATTCTGAATTACACTGAAAAGAAACAAAAGAAGACAGATTGTAGAAGAGAGCAAAAACTGAATGACATGTTCCATATTGAGTGAGTTTCCCATTTATTTGTTAATTGATTTTTCCTTTGTGACTCTGCTCTAAGAGCAGGCCCCATAGAAACCAGGAAAAGGGGACTTTACAAGCTGAAGTGAGTTAGGGGGAAATTCTTAGGAAGGAGAAAATTAGAGAAGTTTTCTAATTCTGTATGTGATCCTACACAGGTTTCTGCCTAACTCCTATCTATGCATGTACAAGTCAGACCAAATTAGCACATAACAGAGGTTTCAAAATGGGACGGAGCTTTGATCTCCATGCACAAATCTCTTGCTTTAACTCAGGAATAATGCCCCCTGGAATAAAGCCTACTCAGGAAAGACCTAAATAATGGATAAAATAACTGAAATGATAACTAGACTACTCAAAACACCCTCATACTAATCCATGAACCATAAATACATGAGCAACACCTACAACAGATTAACAAAGGCTCCGAACATGGAACTGAAATTCAAATTACCACCTACAGAAATGAGACAGATCATACTGCCTGAATCGGACTGGCTTCTACAGATACTTAAAACAGAAACCATAGTCTACCCAATCCATCTTTTACAATGTTAAGGATACAATAAAAAAAAATTATCCTACATACAGAGAACCAAGAACATGTGTCTAATCGTCAGGAGAAAAGACAATGAACTCCTGTCATCCTTGAGATCCTCCTAGATATTGGAACTATCAGATACTTTAATGCAGCTAATATAACTAAGGCAACATGTTGTAGAGCGAACACTCCTGAAAAAAATGAAATGAGAGAAAGTCTCATGAGACATGTAGAGACTTGTCTTTTTAAAAAGAACCAAATAGAAATTTTAGAGGTGATAAGTACTATTATGCATTGCTTAACAACAAGGATATGTTCTGGGAAATGTGTTGTTAGGTGATTTTTGTTGTTGTGTGAATACCATAGAGTGTACTTACACAAACCTAGATGATACAGCTTACTACACACCTAGGCCATATAGGATAGCCTGTTGCTCCTAGGTTACCACCTGCACAGCATGTTACTCTATTAAATACTATAGACAGTGGTAAAATACTCTATTACATACTATAGACAGTGGTAAAACAATGGAAAGTATTTATTTAGCTACACATATATAACCATAGGAAAGGTCTAGTGAAAATATGGTATAAAGGATAATAAATGGAATACCTGTATAGGATACATACCTTGAATGGAACTTGCAGAACTGAAAATTTCTCTAGGTGAGTCAGTGAGTGAGTGGTGAGTGAATGTGAAGGCCTAGGACATTACTGTACATTACTGTAGACTTTATAATCACTGTACACACTAAAGTTATATAAAACAAGTTTCTTTCTTCAGTAATAAACCTTAGCTTACTGTAACTTTTCTACTTTATAAACTTTTAAATTAAAATTATCTGACTCTTTTGTAATAACATTTAGCTTAAAACACAAAACATTGTACAATTGTACAAAAATTATTTTTCTTTAGAACCTTATCCTCTAAACTTTTTTCTATTTTTACAACTGTTTACTTATTTTTACTTTTTAAACTTTTTTGTTAAAAATTAACACACAAACACACATATTAACCCTAGGCCTACACAGGGTCAGGATAATCAAAATGTCACTAGGCAGTAGAAACTGTTTTTCTTTTTCTTTTTTTGAGACAAAGTCTCACTCTTGTAGCCCAGGCTGGAGGGCAGTGGCGTGATCTCAGCTCACTGAAACCTCTGCCTCCTGGGTTCAAGCGATTCTCCTGCCTCGGCCTCCTAAGTAACTGGGATTACAGGTGCCCACCACCACGCCCACCTAATTTTTTTGTATTTTTAGTAGAGATGGGGTTTCACCATGTTGGCCAGGCTGGTCTTGAACTCCTGACATCAGGCAATCCACCCACCTTGGCCTCCCAAAGTGCTGGGATTACAGGCATGAGCCATCACTCCCGGCCAGCAATGGGAAATTTTATCTCCATTATCATCTTATGGGCCACCCTCATATATGCAATCTGTTGATGATTGAAATGTCATTATGTGGCACAAGATTGTATAATATATTCAAATTTTAAAAGTCTTACTGGATAGTTAGGTTCACAAGCTGCAAGGAGATGACAGAGGAACCAGTCAGTAAACTTTAAGATAAGTTGAAAGAAATTACCCAACCTGAAGAATAAAGAGAAAACAAGTTGGAAAAAACTCTCAGCTCTCAGGGACACATAGGACAATATTAAAAAGTCTAACATACATGGATAGGAGTCTTAGAGAGTTGGTGCAAGAGATAGAGGCACAAAAGCTAGTTGAAGAAAATCCGGCTAAAATTCCCCAAATTTGGTGAAAGACATAAACTTATAGACTGTAGAAGCTCAGCAAACTCCAAATAGGATGAACTCAAAGAATATCACAGAGAATACAGAAAATCAGAAAATACTTTTGACTGAATTATAATGAACAGATAAATCTAATACTATCCTTAGAGGGAAACTCATACTTTTAAATGTTCATATTAGAAAAGAAGAAATATTTCAAGTCAATGCCTAATATCCCACCTTAAGAAGCTAAAAAAAAAAGCAAACTATACACAGTCAGTTGAAGAAAATATTAAAGATAAGAACAGAAATCAACAAAATGGAAAACAGACTAGAGAAAATGAACAAAACCAAAGACTGATTCATTGAAAAGACCAACAAAATTGACACTCTCAGGTAGTGATCAAGAAGACAAGGAGATAAACCATCAAGATCAAGAATAAAAAAGAGATGATCACCACAGAGCCTACTGATACCAGCCTGGGTGACAGAGTGAATCTCCGTCTCAAAACCAAAAAAAAAAAAAAAGATAATTAATTTTGAAAGATCCAAACCACAACTACCTAGACATTTATACTTAAAAATACTTAAAAGTATTTTTATAGGCCAGGCGTGGTGGCTCACACCTGTAATCCCAGAACTTTGGGAGGCTGAGGTGGGCGGATCATGAGGTCAGGAGATGGAGACCATCCCGGCCAACATGGAGAAACCCTGTCTCCACTAAAATACAAAAATTAGCCAGGTGTGGTGGCAGGCACCTGTAGTCCCAGCTACTCAGGAGGCTGAGGCAGGGGAATCGTCTGAACCCAGGAGACAGAGATTGCAGTGAGCCAAGACCGTGCCATTGCACTCCAGCCTGGCGACAGAGCGAGACTCCGTCTGAAAAAAAAAAAAAAGTCTTTTTATAAAGAAGAAATCAAACCAAATTTGCAGAAAAGATAGAAGGACTACTTTCTGAAAAATCAGTTTAAAGGGTTTCATGGACAATGATAATTCATGGATAATTCCAACCCGATTTAAAGTATCTCAGTGAACAGAGAAAGAAGAAAAGCTTTCAACTACATATTTGAGCAGAAAAAGATACTAAAATTTGACTTCCCACCAAAAAAAAAAAAAATTGCAGACCAAGCTCACTTACACTATTAATATGCATGTATTTAAAACATTTGTAAATAGCATTAAGTGGATCAATTAATAAATTCTACTTCTTCGTCAAGTGCAGTTCATCCTAAGAATGCAACTATATTTACATGCTAGAAAATTAACTAATATAATTTTTCATAATATTGGACTAACAGGGGGAAAATATCCCAACCCAATAGATGTTGAATATATTTGACAAAAATCCAGCATAATGAAACTGCTTAATGGAGAAACACTATAAACATTCCAATTAAGAAGATACTCAGGAGGCTGAGGCAGGAGAATCGCTTGAACCCGGGAGGCAGAAGTTGCATGAGCTGAGATTGTGCCATTGCACTCCAGCCTGGGCAACAACAGCGAGACTCTGTCTCAAAATAAATAAATAAAAATTTAAAAAAGCAATAATAATATATAATCTTTCTCAACAGTAAAGAAGCTGCTCTAGCAGTAAACAATAAATGTTAGAAAAACAAAAGCTGAGTGTGGTGGCTCACACCTGTAATCTCCCAGTACTCTGGGAGGCCGAGGCAGGTGGATCGTCTGAGATCAGGAGTTCAAGACCAGCCTGGCCAATATATTGAAATCCCATCTGTACTAATAATACAAAAATTAGCCAGGTGTCCTGGCGTGCACCTGTAATGCCAGCTACTCCAGAAGCTGAGGCAGGAGAATTGCTTGAACCCGGCAGGCAGAGGTTGCAGTGACCTGAAATTGCACAACTGCACTCCAGCCAGAGTGACAGAGCAAGACCCCCTGTCTCAAAAAAAAAAAAAAAAAAAAAAAGAAAAAGGAAGAAAATATTCAACATATAATAGTTATAAAAGAGAAATACTTAATGAGGAATGTATAAAATTTATAAAACTGTTATGACTACATTTTTAACTTCATTGAGATTGATAAAATGGAAGCTGGCTTATGAATAGGTAAAGTCAACATTGCAAAGCTAGCAATTAATGCTAAATTAATTAAAGTTCATCAGTCTCATTAAAATAGCAAAAGCTTTTGGGGATGAATCAGACAAAATACTAACAGAGTAAATTCGTAAAAGTAAACATGTAAGTATAGCAAGGACAATTTTGAAACAGAAAAGTGACAGCAGAAGACTTGTCTATCAGATAATAGAACGTCTAATCAAGTAAAAATATTAAAAGAATTTGGTACTATAAAATAATTATATATAGGAAACATAATAAAAGGTCCAGTAATAGATACAACTATTTATGGGAAATTAATATATTATGAAGGTGGCAAATGGGTGAAGAAAAATAGATTCATAAGGCTGGACGCAGTGGCTCACACCTGTAATCCCAGCACTTCGTGAGGCCAAGGCGGGTGGATCACCTGAGGTTGGGAGTTCGAGACCAGCCTGACCAACATGGAGAAACCCCATCTCTACTAAAAATACATAATTGGCCGGGCGTGGTGGTGCATGCCTGTAATCCCAGCTACTTGGGAAGACTGAGGCAGGAGAATCGCTTGAACCTGGGAGGTGGAGGTTGCAGTGAGCCAAGATCGCACCATTGCATTCCAGCCTGGGCAACAAGAGAGAAACTCCGTCTCAAAAAAAAAAAAGAAAGAAAGAAAAAGAGGTTCATAAGTAATACTGCAAAAATTTGCTAGAAGTTTGGAAAACTAAAGTTGATTTCTGTCTAATACTAATATTAAAATAATATCTGGCTATATCAAAAATTTTAAAATAGCATTATAAAATTACTGTAAGAAAAGTTGGATAAACTTATACATAAATTTTGTCACAGGGAGGACCTTCTAAGCAGGGCACAAAACACCAAAGCCATAAAGAAACAGGTATAAAATGTTGAAAATTATACCATAAAAAGACTCTAAGCATAATTTTGTAAAAAACAAAATTAAAAAAACAAAAAAATGTGAGTATCTTGGAAAAGTGTTCATAACCTACAAATGGTGATTTTTCTATACTTACAAATGTGATATATATATATATATATACATATATATATATATATATATATATATATATATATATATAAAACCTACTATTGGTAATTTTTCTAAATTTACATGGGGTTTACTTGAATGGCCTCTTAAGATAAAATGTAGCAGAAAATAGGCAAAGATGATAAACACTTGACAGAAAAAGAAATGTAAAGGGTCAAAAACATGAAAAGATACTTTCATTCATAATTAAATAAAGTCAGTGAAAGCAAAGTGATATTTTTCACTTTTCAGATTAACACAATTCAAAACATTTGTTAACATCCAATGGTGGGGAGGGCATGAAAAAATAGATACATTCATACACTACTGGTAGGAAAATAAAATACACAACCTCCTTGAAAGGTAACTTAGCAAGTTATTCAAATTGAAAAATGTAAAGATTCAAACAGTCTTTGGCATATAGTGCAATTTGTGCAAAATGTTATGCACATATGTATAAACATGTGTGTACATGCGTGTGCCTATCTTTCTTCTACTCCCTGATGGATCTATAAGAAACTCTTCTCAATTGCTTACCTTTCAGGAGAAAGACTGGGCATGACATAGGAAAAGACATTTTCTTTTCATTATATGTTTCTGTCTTACTGGTTTTGTTAAATTGTGGGTCCATATCACTTAAAATAAAAAAGTAATTAGCTAGACACACAGAAACAGTTGACCCAGCTGATGGAAGAAATTCCATTATAAAAATTGTCAGGAACTAGTTTGCAACAATTGTTCAGAATCTACACAATGTGAAAATTTGAAAGAGGCATTGGGAAAACTCTGAGTTCCTGAGTGTTTGTGCACATTATCTCAGTGAAAATGGAAGAAAACGTGGTCATTAAGACAGCCATCTCCATTTGGCTAATTTCTGTAAAACCCTAAATTGAAATATTCTTTTGTTAAAATAATCTTTAAAGGCTAAATAGAGTTTTTATAAAATGACAAAGTTCGATCTCAAGAAAGTTTCTTTGTGATTCAATAAAAGCTTAGAAATATTTAGAGTTTTCTTCCCAGATTTGAGATATTACCGTGCTACTGACAATCTCCTTTTCTGTCTCTAAATGACCATAACTTTCAGTAACTTAGGTTCATATACAGATCTTGGGTCTTTGATATTTAAGATATGGTACATAAGAATTTAAAGTTTTCATCTTTTGCCTTTCTCTCCACTCTAGCTCTTTATCTTCTATTAAAATTGAACTCCTTCATTGTTTTTGTTAATTTCTCTAAGCCACTTCATTGTGCACTTCTATTTAAACAGAGACCCTGGAGTTTTACGACAACTTCCAAAAGGGATTTGGGTAAGATGCTATGCTCTAAATACCCTGCAAGAAAATATGAACCACCATCTTCAAGATTAAAGTGGCAATTGCATGTCTTGATTGCTCTTTCTTATTAGCTTTATTAATCTTATGGAAAAATCCTTTTCTTTAAAAATTTATTTTAATAGATTTTTTAAAGATGTAAACCAGCTTTAATGCCACATAGCTTTCTTTTCTTTGTTAATTTTAGTTTATTACGGTAATAACACCTAACATGAAATCCACCCTTTTAACAAATTTTTAAGTGAATCATACATTATCGTTGACTACAGGTGAAATGTTGTAAAATTCTAGCACATCTGAATATTTAAGCATTTAAACAAGAGTGATATTAAATAGATGACTTTAGTTGCTGTGTAGATGGATTGGGGGAAGGGGCAATAATGAAAACAGGTCTACAGGGGAGTGACATGGTGACATGGACCAGACTGATGATTATAGAGACAAAGAGAATGGAGGGGTTCAGTAGGGATATGAGGGATCAAATCAACAGACTTACTGAAGAACTAGATGTGGAGGGTGAGGGAGAAGAATCAAGGATGGTTCCTAGAATTTTGTCTTGAGAAAGATGTTCTCTGTTGTGTGGGAGAGTCCTGAGGAAAATGTACATATAGAGAGAGTCTTTATAACAACCAGTATATCCATGTTCTTTCTTCGTAATAGAAATTTATGTCTCAGTGACAGATTTTCTCTAATGGTTTGAGCCACAAATTAAAAACAAACTACCATCAGCCTTGCCTTGACTTTTTTCTCAAATATAAATTTTGAGTAATAGTTTCTTAAAATTTCTGAATCATGACATTATAAGGTTATATGGGAGAATCAAGATAATACAATATAAGACTTTAGTAGTTTTCCAGATGCATTTCATTTCAAATATAGGCCAGTCTTTTTTTGATATTATTTTGAACTTATGAAAAATTTTCGAAAATAGTATAAACAAATCCTGGATACTTTCAACCCATATTTTTCCAAATATTAACATTTATTACATCTACTGTACTGTCCTTTTTCACTCTCTCTCTGTCTCAGTCTTTCTCTATCTCCCTTTCTATATATTACATGCATACACATAATGCATAATATGTAAATATATTATATATACATAAATACATATGTTTGTGTATTTTATATATATGTGCGTGTATTTATGTATGTATATATATGTAAACATATATTTAATCCTAGCTTCTAAAATTCCAAATATAGACATCATAGGCAAGTGTCTGTTCAGGCATCAGTTCTCACCTGGGGTGGTATTGTTTCAAGGAATGTTTGAAAATGTCTGGGCACATGTTTGGTTGTGACAACTTGAGAGGGTTTGCTACTGTTGTGTAGTAGGTAGCGGCCAGAGATGATGCTAACCATCTGACCTACAATGCACAGACAACCTTCACAACAGAGAATTACCTGACCATAAAATGTCAAGAGTGCTAAAGGTGAGAAATCTTGCATTAAGCCAATCAACCTCTCCTTTCCACAACCCTCTATACAGACTGATTAGTCTGTGTACGAATTTATCCAGCTGGCCTTGGAAAAAACCCACTTTGTTTGTTCATCTCCTTTGTTTTTAGTATGATTTGTCTTACTTTGTTTCTCTCAGTATAGCAGAGTTTAAAGTACCCAATGCCATAAGGGATATATTCCCCTGACTTTTATTTTTTACATGCTCATTTTGTTAAAAAAATTTTATCTTTATTTCAAAATTATATTAATCAGTTAGATTTAGTCATTTCAAAATGTGTACACACATCAAAACATCATGTTGTGTACCATAAATATAGATAATTTTCATTTGTTAATTATATCTTAATGAAACTGGGAAGAAAAAATATACATATATTTCATTTTATACTTACTTTTTTTTCTAAATCATTTAAGAGTAAGCTGCACACATGATTATCCCTTTTTCCTCTAAATGCTTCATTGTTTGTTTTCTAAAATCCAGGAATTCTCTTACATAATTGCAGTGAAATTAACAAAATCAGAAAATTATCTTTGATACACTACTATGATTAATTGGCAAATTTTATGGAGATTCCTTTGGTCAGTTTTTAAAATTCAAAGATCTGCCTTACTATTCTTTTCCAACTATGTTATTAGAAAAAAAAAGTGGCTATTTAGAAAATGAAGGGTACTTATTCAGTATCAGCTGACTGAATCTCAGTTAAATTTGCAATTTTTAACCCAAACAGGTCTCTAATGCTGCCACTGCGCAATTCTACAATATACCCCTGACCTATTTAATTTCCAGTCTCCTAATTCATACCTTTTCCACTTTAGTTAAGCCTCCACAACTTTCTTGCTTCTCTTCACTCTCAACTGATGATCTAACTTCTTATTTTCCCAAGAAAATAGAAGCCACTAGAGGAGGACTTTCACACCTTCCCACCACATCGTCTGTCAAACCACCTTGCTCCTATATCCTCTGCCTTATTCCACCATTACGAATGGGCTATTTTTCCTCCTCTTGCACTTGACTCTGCCTCTTGGCACTGGGTCTGGCCCCCTTCCTCATTTGTCTCTGCATGAATTTGGGTCCTGCCCAAATTGGGGTGTTTTGTGTGGTTAAAATAAGAAGATCACAGTATGGTTTTATGAATCACATGGTTTGTTGCCATACAATGAGGTTCTTTTTTATTCCTCCACACAATGCTCAAATGGAGGAGAATAATGAGAATGAATATCACAGGGAATACACTCAACAAATGAGATACCTGTATTTTACTTGATAATGCCCCAAAGCAAAGGAGTAGTGATTGTAGACAACCCAGATATTCAAAAGAGAGGCCGTAAAGTGCTACCTTTAAGTGAAAAGGGGAAAGTTGTCAACTTAATAAGGAAAGAAAAAAAATGTATGCTGAGGTTGCTAAGATCTATGGTAAGCATGAGTCTTCTATACACGAAATTGTAAAGAAGAAAAAAGAAGTTTGTGCATAGTGTACACAGGGTTCAGTACTATCTGCAGTTTTAGGAGTCCACTGGGGGTCTTGGAGCATATTCCTCAAGGATAAACAGTAACTACTGTACATTAACCACATCATGAGTGAGTTCTAATTTCATTTAGAGTCCAATTATTAAAGTCTAGTTGCTCAATAAGGATAGAAACAAGCCTCTGTAGATCGAAAATCTAATCAAAGTTTGAGGTGTACCTTTCTATGAAAGGTTCTTGGAAGAGACAGTTTGATAAACACAGTGTGGATCCGCAATGACCAGCAAGGTCCTAGACACTAGTGAGCAGAGCCAGGGTTGGTGGGCAAGGCTTCAGAGAGTAGCTTAAAGCTGGCAGAGAGTAGTCCTGCCACAGCCTGGGCTCTTGGTCTTCAGAGAGGCAGCTGACAGAGTGTAGTCCTGCCATGGCCTAAGCTCTCAATATGTTTGTCCAAAACCTTGGGTTTACAAGCATTTTGGAGTCTGGTAGTTGAGGCCAATAACTCACATATGTAGATCTGATATAGGTGAGGTGACATTCTTGTGGGAAGGGGAATTACACTCCATGTTCTTATCACTGAAAAACATATGGCACTAGGTAGCAAACTACGTGTTTGGAAACACTTCAAAGTGTGTGGTTTTCTGTCTCCAACGTTTACATCATCAATATTTTCTCTTTCATTAGACTATCTGTTTCATTACACATACCTGACTTCATCTCTCCCCTTCCTACCCACAGCTCTCACCCATTCCCCAACACACACGCAGCTAAAGAGTGGTGTATACTCATTGTCTCCATTTCCTCTCTTTTTATTCACTCTTGAATTCACTCTAATTGGGCTAACTCTTCTCCCACAATTCTACCAAAACTGGTCCTATCAAGAACATCAATGACCTCTGTTGCCAAATCCAATGTTTCCCCAGTGCTCACATAACTTGACCTTCTAGCAGCATTTGGCATAGTTTATTATGTCCTTTCTCTTGAAACACTTTCTTCACTGGTTTCTGGGACAATTCCTTCTCACGGTTGTCTTCCTTCACTCATTGCTTCTTTACAGCCTCCTTCCTTAGTTCTTCCTCATCTTTCTGAGCCCTAAACAATTGAGTTCCCCTGGGCTCAGTCTACTGACCTCTTCCTACCCCCGTTCTCTGTGATTTCACTCAGTTTGAATATCATCTGTACAATGATGTCTTCAGCAGGAGAGCAGAAGTTAGAGGCACAAGCTCTGGAGCTAGACTGCCTGGCTTTGAATCTTGCCCCCACCATTTTGTGTCTCTTCCAACAGGGGCAAATTACTCAATTTCTTTGTAGTTCAATTTCCTCCTCTAAAGTGAGGATAATTAAAATTGCTAGTACCTACCGAGCAATTTTGTGAGAATTTCTATTTATCAGATTTAACCTAAAAAACATAAACCACTTCCAGTATTTACAATAAAGAGAACTTAATGCATTTAAATAGTAAAAGAGCTGAGAAGACAATCAATGGATGGTAAGGAAACCCAGGTATTAGTAAAAACAATAAGTCATTGCCACTTACTAGAGGGTCAAAGCAAGTCTTGCTATAAAGCTATAGTCTTCAGGACAGCGCAGTACTGCCTGACAAACACACATATAGATGACTTCAGCAGAATAGAGTCCAGTAATACACCTTGACATCTATGGTCAAAGGACTTTTTAAAAAGGTGCCAAGGCAATTCAATGGGGAAAGTAAATTATTTTCAAAAAATTGTGCTGGAGAAGATATTCATTTGGAAAAAAATAAGCTTCACACCATATACAAAAACTAACTTGAAATGAATCATAGAGCTAAACTTAAAACTAAAACTGTAAATCTTCTAGAAAAAGGCATAGGAGAAAGGTTTTACAACCTTAGGATAGGTAAAAAAATTTTTGAAAATTAAATACACAAACTATAGAAGAAATTTGATTAATCAAACTTTAACAAAATTAAAAGTTCTACTATTCAAAAGAAAAGACAAGCCACAGACTAGGAGAAAATATTTGTTACACATTATTTGACAAGGGAGTAATATCAGGATATAGAAAGAACTCTTACAACTCAATAATAAAAAATAATAAAAGAAATGAACTACTGATATGCATAATATATATAAAATCTTGAAAATATTACTCTGAGTGAAAGAAGTCAACCCAAAGAATTACATACTGTATGATCACATGTATATGAAATGCTAGAAGAGACCAATTAAAGGTATAGGGACAAAAATCAGATCAGTTGTTGCCTGGAGCCTGTGATGGCTGGGTAATTGACTGGGACAGGACTCAAGACAAATGTTGGGGTTAATAAAAAAAACTCTATATCTTGATTCCAGTGATGGTTACATAAAAGCGTAAAACTGTCAAAACTTCTCAAACTGAACATTTTAAATTGGTGTATTTTATTGATTGTGAATTATATCTAACGAAGTTGATTTAAAACATTAAAAAGAATCTAACAGATTCAAAGATTAAGTAGTGATTTCACTGAAAATGCTGCTCTCACAATTCTGCTTATCACAACATATGACATATCTATTTTACTAGTTGCACAGGCCATAAATATTGGAGTCTTCCTGGAATCTTCTCTTTCTCTCATATCTCACCTCCAATGCATTAGTAAATTCCATCTGCTTTACCTTCAAAATATTCTGAATATGATCCCTTCTCATCACCTCCACCACAACTATACTGGTTCAAGGTACCATCATTTTTGCCTGGATTATTGCAGCACCCTCCTGAGTGGTGTATTTTCTTTTATTTTTGACCCTTTCCCTTTTATGCCACAGTTTTTCTCAACAGCAGCCAAGTTATCCATGTCATTGCTCTGCTCAGAACTCTCCACTGGCAACTTTCTGTTTCAAAATAAGAGACACCTCTCTTACAATGGCCAATGAAGCTAGGTCCCTCATCATCTGCTCCCCGGTGCAGCCTCTCCCCTCCACTTCTCTCACCTTATCTCTTCCACTTTCCCTAATGTTCTCTACAGGCCAGCTACGCTGAACTTAAACATGTCAAGGATACTCCCAAATCACTCCTTCCTGAACTGGGTACCTGCCCCCCATATATCTACACAGCCCTTCCACTAACTTCTTTCAGGTTCTCTTCAAATGCCACCTTCTTAAAGAAGCCTTCCCTGACCATTTCATATGAAATCACTCCCTCCATAATCTCTGTTCACTTTCTTTGCTTTAAAAAAATTCTCAGCCATTATAACTCCCAGAATATCTTAACTTGTTCAATTGCTTTCTTGATTTTTCATCACATGGATGATAATAGGGTGGGAAATTTGTTTCCTATCATATCTCTATCACCTTGGAATGATGCACTTAATACATATTTATTATTTTATTATTTATATATAATATATAATTTACATTTTATATTTAATGTGCTTTATAGGTAAGTACATTAAATATGAAATATTTTATATTTATATTATAGACATTATAGTATTATTAATATTAAATAAGTACTAAATAAATATGTACTTAAGGAATATATGAATGGCTTTACTCTAGAAGCATTACATGGAAAACACACACACACGTATTTTTCCTTTTCTCCCTTTTTGGTATGAAAGTTTTATTTTTTCTCCATCGTGATTTCTAAAATAAACATTCCATCTCCATTATTTCTTTGAATGTCTTTATCAGATTTAGCAAGTGCATAGTATGAGTGCTGGTACATTCCCTTCCTGAGTCGATGGTAAACATAAATAATCCATTGTGGCTTTCTCACTGAACCAATGTACTTCGCCATTCTGCTCAACACAGAACTCCAGGCACCACCACTAATTGATTGAATTTGTCAGGAAATATGAAACTTGTTTGTTATCCTGGATGTAAATTCAAACTTTCTTTCATTATTTTTTATGCTTTATTTCCAAACTGACTAACAGACATGGACCCATGGGGTAAAATGTTAAAGTTCTTTAAACTTCTTCCAGTTTTGTTAGGAAGGGGCAGAAGAGGCAGTGAGTATATCGAGTAATGACTGCTAGATATTTTATTAAGACCCTAGGGGGTTTATTTCAAAATGAAACACCCAGTTTTCCTTCATTTGTGCTTTATAAAAATCTCAATTGCATCATATTCCCTCTTAACCTTCTGAAATCTAATCAATCACAGATATTGAAGCCATGTTCAAAAAACCCTGTAAATTGTTTTCTTCCTTGTTAATAAGGCTCTGTACCTCTTCTAAAGTTAGACAGACTGCACAAGGCCAGGAAAACATCACTTCTAACCTCTTGCTCCTAAAATCAAGTTGATAACTATGGTCTGTATTTCTAATGAGGTTTTTAGGTATAAAGGAAATTATTTATTATTGCCAGGGAATCTCCACTTGGGCAGAAAAAGCATACTTGGAGGGAAAATAAATCTCAGAAAACAACCAAAGCACATTCTGGGACTCAGAAATGAACTGGTGGTAAGTTTCTTTGATGGTCAGAGAACACACCCACCCAAATCCTCTTTGTGAACTGTGGCTACAGTGCTCTGGTACTTGCTATATAGGTAAAGGATTTCTATTTTAATCTTGTATACAGATCAGGTCTTCAAAACTCACATCTTACTGTTAAGTTGAGGAGGAAGGCATGCTTCTTAGAAATGACTTTGGAGGTAGTCTTTTTCCCTGTGTACATTTTAAAAATCTGTGGCCTAATTTCTTAAGGCAATTGACCTAGTGTGCTGCATATATTAATTGAGATAATACGCTAATTTTGAATCTGTTGGTATCTTAGGTTTAAGGAATGTCTCCCAGTGTAGGTGTAATTGAATTCTATATTGCCTCAAGTTTATTCTGGTCCAAGGGAAGAAAGTTATATGGGATTTTTATCAACATTTTAATTAGGCTTTTGGTGGTTACTGACCCCTGATGGACTACATTTTTTTTTAATAAAACATAGGTATATCTGTTCATTGTATTCACTACAAACTGCCTGCTCTTTTGACATGCCCTCAATTGCTTGGTGGATGCATTTTCTTATTTGTTTAATCTGCTAGTTCAGCCTTGAAGAACTGATAGACTGTTTTAACATCAAATAGGAAGCAATGTTTAGCCAACAAATGTTGCCTTTTAACATTGAAGTCTCTCTTATTTTATCTTTAAACTGTAAAAAATTCAAGTAGTTGATATTCTCATCTAACCATGAGTTTTAACTTTATTAGTATTTATAACAATAGGCATTTTCACTTGATCTATTAAAATTCCATTATAATGAAGCTTGTTACATAGTTTCCACCATAGTTTTGAATGAATAGAAAACAGTTTTTGAAACATATAACTTGCAAATAAAGAAAAGCTTAATATAATAGATTTAAACTTGAAGGTGGGCAATATTGTCTATTCTAACGTCAGCAATATATTAAGGGATTTCACTGTATTTTCTTCTTATCATGTTCACAGCAGTTTATTATGAAATAGAACAAAATTTCAGGACACTCTAAATTTATGGTGCCAAAGAGGAAGTTAAGCCCTGGAGCCTGAGTCACATAGCATGTTTGCAATTCTGCTTCTTAGGTTATAGCTTAACTCTCTTCTTTAATGTTCTTGTTCTGTAAATGACTAAAAGAGACAGAAACCAGATCTCCCCTCTTCCAATCACAGGTCTTTTTTATAGATTAACTTTCTCCTTTATTGCCCTGTACCTAACTCAGACCAGATGCCACACAAGATTCCATGACAGTTACATCTTTAGTATGGAATGTTAAATATGCCTTTCCCAAAAGAAAAAGACCACCTCAGCTAATTAGATCATTGTAACTATGCATTAAGCCTTACATAGAAAGAGGTTGAAATTCTGTTAAACTTCTCTAGCTTTGTCTATATAAGTGATTCCAAACTTCTGTGCTTCAAAACATTGGCTTCCATTTTTTGTAATCTCTTTTTCTTGTATAGTCTATCCTCGAACTTTGTGTTTGAATAAACTCTCTTTAAACTAGATTCTGACCCTTTTGATTATTTTAGGTTGACATTTTGGTGACCCAGGGGGACCAGAAGCAAGCCTCCTGTGATCCCTGTCATTTTGCCCACAATTAGAGACTTGATCCCAGCACGAATGGTTTTTGTTCATCTGACCTTGCCAGAGCCAGTGGGCATCTGTTGAGGCTCCTTTCAGATTTCAAATCTCCCTGATTTTGATTTGAGATTCAGACTGTATTCAAGCAACCTAATTCACAGTCAATGGAGTTGGAATTGAAGCTCTGCTTTTAAGATAGGAGTTTCATTGGTTATTTTCTAGAGATTTTGCTGACTGCAGATTTGGGATTTTTACTTTTTACTGAGGTTTTGAATGTCTTTCTTGTTAGAGTTTGCAACATTTTCTGTTGTATGAAATTTGGTCAAGGAGAAACAACTTCTTTTTAAAAACAAAAAGTGAAATAATTGTGGCTTAAGGGAAAATTTGTAATCTTTAAAACTGGTCAGATTCTGAAGCTTGATTCAATTGACAAATCTAATCTTTCTCCTTAAATGAACAAAATTTCTCCTACAAGATCTTTTTGGTCATTCAAAAGGAAAATCTAAATTATGGACTATCGTACCTCTAAAGGAGAGATCTATCTTTAAAAACTACAGTGAGATTTATGTATAATATTTATGGTGTTACCTCACATCAATATCTAGAAAAATGGTTTTACTTAAGCTGTGAAGACCCCAAACTAAAATAGTGAAAATGGGGTACCTTGGAAATAGCTACATTAGTTTATCTGCATGTTTAATTAAAAACAAAAGCTGGTGGCCGGGTGCGATGGCTCATGCCTGTTATCCCAGCACTTTGGGAGGCCAAAGCGGACGGATGATCTGAGGTCAGGAATTCGAGACCGGCCTGCCAAACATGGCAAAATCCCGTCTCTACTAAAAATACAAAAAAGTAGCCGGGTGTGGTGGTGGGCACCTGTAATCCCAGCTACTTGGGAGGCTGAGGCAGGAGAATCACTTGAACCCGGGAGGCAGAGGTTGCAGTGAGCCAAGATCTTGCCACTGCACTTCAGCCTGGGCGACAAGAGCGAAACTCTGTCTCAAAAACAAAACAATACAAAACAAACAAAAAGCAAAAGCTGGCTATAAAATAAAAACAAAACAACCTAGAGAGCTATTTTTCAATGGTACTTAGAAGCTTCTAAAAGACATTCTGATAAAGTCATTTCTTTACAAGAGATTGCCTAAAACTATTTCTAAATTTAAAAAGACATTCAAAGTTTTCTCCCTTTTATTTCCAACTACTCCTTCTTCTTCCTCTATGATCTGAACTTACCTCTTTCTGCTTGTTCCCTCAACTCCCACACATCTCTTAGGCAAATTTTTGGAATTCCATATTGCACAATTTTCTTTCTCTCAAAAGGGGAAAATGTATTTAAATTTGGACCAGAGGGAACAGAGTTGCTACAGAATGAAAATGAAACTACTGAAATTATAAAATACAGATCCAACAATTTTTTTTCTAAACTGGAATTAATAAATGACACTTATGATTTATTGACCTAATATCAGATGATACCCTTTAAATACCCTGCTCTTAAAGATGTAAAGCTTAACATGTCTGTAAAATGTTAACATTCAAGGGATTAGCTAAGCAACATTACAGCTGAAACAAGTTAAAATCCTTTACATCTCAAAGTTCCCTCTTTGGATCCCCTGTAGGACTTAAAGAAAATCATTCCAAACTGCAGTCTATGGCTAAGATTCTGTGCTGCTATGACTGTGACCCAGGATGAATTCCCTATCAGGGAACCAGTCTTATTTGTTTTAAATTATTCATATGACTCTTGATCTTTTGGAGTAACCATTTATTATTGATTTTTTTTCCTCTTCCATGGACAGATTTTCACATCCGGTCTCTCCATCTGTGGGGCATACAAGGCTTTTGGACCTTCATGCATAGGCACTTAGCTGACAAGCTGAGATCGTAGAAAATACAGCCAGACAGAAATGTGACATGTATTCCATTTGCAGCTAGCAAAACTTTTCTTTCTTTGAGCTGTCTTTGGGGTGATCCTATATCTTGTGAGGATTGCTTGGCACCTCTTTGGAGATGCCTAGCTTATTATCAGTTAAGTCATAAACTTTGTTAAGATGTATTGGTTTGTGAAAAAATACTCTTGGTTTAAACTAGAAAAAAAAAAGCTGGATAAAGTGTTTATAAAAGATAGGACTTCAGGCAAAGTATTCTTGTTTCTTTTCGGAGCTATCTACACTGAGTACAGATACAGAAAATGCTTTCTTTGCCCTATCGATTAAAGGGCTACACCCTGAAGTCAATAATCTAACAACAACAACAACAACAAAAACAAAACAAGCAAAGTTGAAAAGACCACCTAAGTGTAGATTGGTCTCCAAAATATGACTTTCTGGGATTTAGCTGGCTATTTTGAAATTCTATATAAAAGAAAAAATTATACTTACAAAGAAAATCTCCATTTGTAAGGGCATCTCCCTCCTGTACCTAAACCACTAGAAACTTTTACAGTGAGGAAGACATTGGCTTAAAGTTTATATAATTTACCATTCTTAAGACACTTTTCTCAACCATTTTATCTTGATTGAATCTTTACCTATTCCCTTTTTTGTCTGAACAAATAATGGCGTTTAGATCTAATTTCTGTGCCTTTGGGATGTAAATGTTCACCTAAAAGTCATGTCTTTGGGCATGCAAATTGAGGATTGCCTAACTAACAATTGCTTAGGCCTCAATAGTCTAAAGGGAGAGAAAAACTATTTAAAAATTGGTAAATGAAGAATATTCTAAAGGCATAAGATCTATTTCTGTCTGTGTGCCTATATGTCTATATATTTATATGTGTCATGAGTATGTGATATTTCACTATCAAAATGTGGGAAAGAACTTTAATTAATTGGCTTAGAGGAAAATTAAGTACTTAAGTATTTTATCAGAAAAATAGAAACTAACTCAAATGCCTTTTCGTTCACATGATTTTAGTATTCTTTGGCAAGTAGAACTAGTTTTAAAATTGTTGCCAAAATAACATGTAAATGTCTTCAGAATTGTTAGTATTAAATATAATTCATACATTTTGCCAGGGTCTACTGCTCAGACAGGGTTACACTGTTTCTAATAGATATTTTAAGGTCCTAAAACTGTTCATTTTGTTATACTTTTGATACTTGCTTGACTTGGCTTGAGCTAAATTAATTTTATGTGTAATTAAATACTAGATACGGGAAAAATAGTCTTGATGCAAATATAAAAAAGATTTATCTTTAGAAAAAACAAAAACATAAAAATGTGGTTTTTTAGTAAAAAATTAATTTGTCTAGTTTAAGAGGTTATTTAAATTAAAGGACTATGATATAAATAAAACTAAAAGGACCTAAAATATTGGAGAAAGGAATAAATAGAAAAAAATTTTTTAAGAAGTTATAAAAGGTTTATGAAACTCTTATATGGTCAAAGTTGGTTGAGATTGGATGGATTTGTTTTTAAGGTTTTATTAAAATTGGCTTTAGTATTGATAATACACTAATACAAAAGTAAAATTTGGTTTCCTCCTTTTTGTGTAGTATTAACAAGAAATAGTAAGAAAAATTGTGCTTCCCTTTTGCATGAACTGCAAAAATTTGGACAAAGGAAGAGACAGATTCTGTTGGTCTCATGTTGTGTTTATTAGGACTTTGTTTAATAACTTTGATCTCCTTTCTATCAAAGATTAAAAGTTTTTGCTTTTTGTGAAACCTTTACATGATCACTTTGGCTAAATGATTGACTTATTTTACCATAACCTGTGATTCTGTTTTGATATGAAGTGTTTTAAACCTTTGATATTTGCTGTACTTCCCCAAATCAAATTTCAAACACTAAAATTAAGTCTTTGTAGCCCAAACTAACTTGTAAGTAACAAAAAGAAACCCCTAGAAGTCCAAGAGAGGCAAATTTAGACTGGAATGAATTCTTTTTAAAAATAAATGCTGACCCTTTTGATTACTTTAGGTTGACATTTCAATTGACAATAAAGATGTAATGCTACCAAAAATCATTTTACTTTAGCCTGACGTTTGATCCTAAACTTCTGAGACAGTCAGAATTCATTTAGAATAATTACACCTTTCATTTCCAAGATACAAGACTTGGAAAAGTCTGCTATCTTGCTCTGATGATCTGTTCCTCCATCTATAAAGTGTGGCTAGCCTTCTGAAGATATAATCAGACATAAACGTAGAAATGTGGAAAGCAGGTAGTACAGCATCTGCTACACCAGGTGATCCCCTTGCTAATAATGAGCAGCCACATTGCCTCCTGCCTTTTCCTCACTCCTGTCCTTAGGCTTTACCCTAACTGTCCTCTCTATTCCCAGATTATTACATGGCTGGCTCCTTTCAACATGCAGCTCTCACTTCATTGGCAAGGTAACCACCCAATCTCATGTATTCCCCATTTCTAATTAGGTTGTGCCACATTAATCCATTTTATGGTTCTCTTAGTCCTTATCACTAAACACAATTAACTTATTTGTCTGTTTACTTGTTTCTCTTCTGTCCTATCTTTATAGAAGAGAAGATCCTGGAGAGTAGAAATGTTGTCTGTTTCACTAAATCTCCAGAGCCTAGAAAGGTGCATGATAATAGGCATCAAATGAATGAATAAATGATGGTCCTCACCCCTTTCCTTTCACTGAGTCCATTCCCATTTTAAAAAGAAGGCAGAATTCTCTCTTTAGGGTTACATTTACCCATGCATGAATAGATTGCTAGAAATTAGTAAACAGATAATACAAGGCAAAAAAGTACATCTCTATTTGATTGTGCTGATGAAAAGTAAAAATATTAATATATTTGAGGTAAAAGATTTATTTCATTTATTCAGTCAACAAACTTTTTGAGTATCTATTATGTGCTTAGGATTGGGCTAGCTGTGAAGGTTAAAATGCATAAAACTATAAATCATATAGTTTAAAAAGCACCTAATCTCATTGTCAGAGTAAACTATTTGTGTGTTTTTAATCTGTTGCCTTTTAGCCAGTTATACCTTTAATGCTATTAAAATGCTAAAATTCTATCTAAGCCTACTGTTAAGGGATTCTATAGAAGAAATCCTAACACAAAGAAATTTAACAACAGTAATATTTGAGCTGGGCCTTTAAGATTGAATAGAGGTTTTCAGATCAGGGAAAGGAGGAAGAGCACTCAGATAAAGCAAGTAGCATGAGCAAAGGCCCAGAAGGGCCCTGGCACTCTGTATGTGCTGAGGGCAGGGAAGGTGGTTGGGAGAAATCCGCTAATAGCCTTTAAGGCTGAACAAGCACAGCAGGGAGTGAGCAGGACTAGAAAGATAAATTGGAACCTTGAAGAACCATAAAAACCTTGCCCAGGGCTTTAGACTTTACAGGAAATAGGAGTGTAAGATCAGATCTGCATTTTAGAGAGCTCTTCCTTATGGTTGTGTAGATGAGGGAAGTGTTACGTACAAGAGAAGAGAGAGACAGGAAGCATTGAGAGATTAGAGCAGGAATCCAGGCAATATATCAAGAAGCCCTGACTCAGGGCAGTTCTGAAATGAGTCCAAGGAAGAGATGGATTTGAGAAAAATTTAGCAGGGTAGCACTGCCAAACCAAAAATGATTTTGGAAATGTCTAAGTATATTGACAAATATTAGAAATGCAAAGAGAAGCTTGAGACTTCAGTTTCTGGGATGTTGAAATTGAGGTGCTTGCAAAATACCCAGGCTAAATAGATCTATTGGGTAATTTAATATTTGAATCAATGCTTGTTAAAATTATTATTACTGTCTGAGTAGATAGACAGAATAAAGTAGCAAATCTATTGTAAACTCTTGTTTTGTTTAAAGACATAAAGGAAAAAGAGGTTAGGAAACATCATCAACCTGCTTCTGGACATTTGTGTTTCTACAGCTTTATTTATGAAGAATCACACTCAGATACTAGGATAGCTGGATGAGGGTATTACTTAAGAGGCTTCTTTTTCTTTCTTGCTTGCTTTTCTGGGGGAGGTGGGGGGAATGGGACAGAGTCTCACTGTCACCCAGTCTGGAGTCCAGTGACATGATCTCGGCTCAGTACAACCTCTGCCTGTGGGGTTCAAGCGATTCTTATGCCTCAGGCTCCCAAGTAGCTGGGATGAAAGGCACGCGCCACCACACCCAGCTAATTTTTGCAATTTTAGTAGAGACGGGATTTCACCATGTTGCCCAAGCTGGTCTTGAATTCCTAACTTCAGGTGATCCACCCACCTCGGCCTCCCAAAGTGCTGGGATTACAGGTGTGAGCCACTGCGCTCAGCCAAGGCTTATTTTTCTTACAGGGAAGTAGTGATCTAACTCTGTCTTTGACCTTGAGGGACTAGTGATAATAACAATAAAAAAAGCCATTCAGTGGTAGAAGTGGGATTTAAACCCTAGCACCTTGGCTCCAGAGTTCATTTTTTTAACCCATTTGAGTTTCCTGACTGACAAGTTGTGAGGGCCTCAATGAATAGATAAATGGACACTGAGCTGGGAGTGTTCCTTAAAACAACTCCACCCACCCCCCTACCCCAACAAACAAACAAACCCTAAGCATTCAATCCTGTTTGCTTCAGTTTCCCAAGGGAAATGCATGGAGCATGCCTATAGCAGAACAGATCAATGTAACTGCTGTTAGAATGTCCATGGCTACACTGGCAAAAGAGGGGCAGAATCTGTACTTTCTTTCTGTGTTTGGCTTTTTTTTAGGATTATTAATATTTCTATGGTTTGCTAAAACCTGATACCTGATATCTTTTAGTCTGCAAAAATCTGATACCAGGCAGATAACTTGAGGTCAGGAGTTCAAGACCAGCCTGGCCAACATGGTGAAACCCCATCTCTACTAAAAATATAAAAATTAGCTGGGTATGGTGGCGGGCACCTGTAATCCCAGCTACTTGGGAGGCTGAGGCAGGAGAGAATTGCTTGAATCCAAGAGGCAGAGGTTGCAGTGAGCCGAGATCGTGCCATTGCACTCCAGCCTGGGCGACAGAGTGAAACTCTGTCTCAAAAAAAAAAAAAAAAAAAAAGAAAGAAAGAAAGAAAAAATCTGATACCACTTGGTATCTACTTTGTCTCTACTTTTTTTTTTTTTTGAGACAGGGTCTCGCTCTGTCTCCCAGGCTGGAGTGCAATGGCACTATCTCGGCTCACCGCAACCTCTGCCTCCTGGGTTCAAGTGATTCTCCTGGTTCAGCCTCCTGAGTAGCTGGGATTACAGGTGCCTGCCACGATGCCCAGCTAATTTTTGTATTTTTGTAGAGATGGGGTTTCACTTTGCTGACCAGGCTGGTCTCGAATTCCTAACCTCAAGTGATCCACCCACCTCGGCCTCCCAAAGTGATCCATACTTTGTCTCTACTTTTGCCTACAAATTTCCCCTAGTTCTCCAGAATTCATTTACTGTGCACCCTGACACCAATTTTAGAAGAATAAAGCACAAACCCATCAGAGTTTATCTCTGGTCACTGGCACAGTTGGCTGAGTAGATGTGTCCTCCCCATTGGCAGGCATATAGTGGCAAAGGCTGGGCTGCACCCTGGGTGGTGTTTTTCCTCTCAGAGCCAGAGTAAGAGGTTTGAGTGTTGCAGATACTCTGCTCCACCTTTCAGGAAGATGCATCCCTCATTATCTGCCCCTGGGGCCCTACCTAACAAGCCTGATCTTTCTGCGAGACAGACTTCACATATTTGGAGACAGCTATTAAGTTCAGTGGGTCTATTTTCTCCAAGTTGAAAAAATCACACTTTTTCAGCTATTTTTCATGTGGCATGGTTTTGAGTTGTTTGATGGTCCTTCCTATGCTTCCAAAGATATCACCCCAATTCCCCTCTACTTCCTGCAGCAGTAATTCTACCATAGGCAGGACCATTTTTATTTTTCATTGTAGACATTTTCTGCATTCATATATAATTTTATGTGCACATAAGTATGCACCTTTATAGGAAATGTATCTCTACGACAGATGTCCCTTTTTCTATGTTATGCTCTTATTTCTAAAATTGTTCACCAAAAATGACCAAATCAGGGCAAGATCAGTGCAAAAAGTATCAATAAAATAGACACATGTTGATAATATCAGTTATAATATAGCAGAAAAAGTGGAATGATATCAATATATAAAGTTAAGGTTGAATGGCATTACTCCCCTCCTTTATTTACAACTTTATTGTCCTCTCTTCAGACTGCCAGCTCTATTTATTATTCTTGTGAAAACAACATAAATCAATACATACACCAAATTAAGCATCAAGTTGGGGCATGGGAGTGGATTAAGAGCTGCATAAAGTGAAATGCTAACAGCATAAATTATATCAGTGTAGATAAGATTCTCAGGCTTCAACTAAAGTTAAGCAGTTAGTAATAAATTTAAAAAATGAAACTCAACTACTTACAGCCAAGAGCGTGTGTAGTGTAAACTCCCCCACATTCATATGCTGTACACCCTTGGGCCAGCTTTCAGAGGAGCAAGTCACAAATCCATCACTGTGTATCCCCAGCCATGGTAGGCACCAATTCCTGGTGAAAAAGGAATCCCAGTTTTCAATCTCCAGTGATAACCATCAACAACCATTCGTCATACTCAGTAGGAATGTGGAAAAAACAACACTCACTGGGTGTTTTTTTTCTGCTCTCACTACAACAACTGACACATACTTCTTTTTTTTTTTTGGAGATGGAATTTCACTCTTGTTGCCCAGGGCAATGGTGCCATCTCGGCTCATTGCAACCTCCACTTCCTGGGTTCAAGAGATTCTCCTGCCTCAGCCTCCCGAGTAGCTGGGATTACAGGGGCCCGCCACTATGCCCAACTAATTTTTGTATTTGGAGTAGAGACAGGGTTTCACCATGTTACCCAGGCTGGTCTTGAACTCCTGACCCCAAGTGATCTGCCCACCTCAGCCTCCCAAAGTGTTGGGATTACAGGCGTGAGCCACTGCACCTGGCCTTGACACAGACTTCTGTGACCGAATGTATGTGGGTTTTTCCCCACACATGAAGCAGAGGACACCAGCTGGGTTTCCTCTAATTCAATTCTGACACTACCTGGAGATAGCCTTGGATCCCTAGGTTGAGGACTCAGTCCCCAAGACTTCCCCCACCCAGTTCAGACACCAGTCACAAGTCCAAGCTCCAGAATTTCTGACCAATCAGCTTCCACTGGGGTTCCTACAGCCGTCTCTTGGGGTTCAATTAGTTTGTTAGAGTGGCTCACAGAACTCAGGGAAACTTATATTTACCAGTTTATTACAAAGATATTTTAAATGATACAAATAAATACCCAGATGAAGAGATGCAAGGGTGAGGTCTGGAAGGATCCTGGACACAGAGGCTTTTGTCCTTGTGGAGTTGGGGTGCACCACCCTCCCGGCACATGGATAAATTCTTGTTTGGTTTCTTATAAACCTCCACGTGTTCAGCTATCCAGAAGCCCCCAAACCCTGTCTTCTTGGATCTTTTATGAAGACTTCATTGGATAAGCATGATTGACAATCATGTAGAAATGTGATTGGACAAAAAGGTATAATTTAGTACAAACAGGCAGAGTGGGAAAACCCAGCAAGGCCTGTCCAGATTCTTCTTGGCATGTCTGTGGAGCAATCCTTCTTCCAGGGTATGGGGCAGAAGGTTCTCTGGAATGAGGGTCTTATGACCCAAAATCAGATTATAGTCCTGCCTCAGGCACATAAAAGGAGGGCAGGGGAGGGTCAGAGAGAGAGAGATCCTGTCTTCTGAGGCCTGTTTCTGAGGCCTAAGGCATCTCAACATTATAACAAAGGCTATGGGACTTATGAGACAGGAACTGTGGATGAAAGCATGTATATCACTCCGGAAGGAGGCCACACCACTGTTCCCAATACTAAAAACTACAAGGCTTTTGTATTCCCACTACATTCCACATATTCTCAACTCTTGTTTTCTGAGTTATTTCCAAGAATGCCTTTGTGTTCTTGTCTCGGTGTCCTCTGAAGTTGTAAACTCACTGCACAGCACACTCACTTCCACAAATAAAAGTTTGAATGGTCTTTGGAAGAGGGCTTTTCTTTGTTGCTACTTCCAGCCCTGGCTCATCAGCCAGACCACCTCAACTCCAAGTTCAGTTACACATTTCCCTAAAGAACATGTTCGTTTTCTTTGCTTTAGCTCTGCTCTCTTTCCCAAGCTTCTTTACAACCTGAAGCCTAGATGCTGAGAGAAGGCAGAGAATAGTCCACTTTCTGTGATCCTGACCTTTTCTATCAGCAGTCTTCAGCAAATCTCTCTCAAGAATTTCCTGGTATAACATACTTTATGGTAGTAGTTTCACTCTTTTATGTTTATTTTTAATCTAAGGCATTTTTTAAAAGAAAAAATCTTATCCAGAAACTAAAAATATTGAAGATGTAAAACTGAGGGGCAGATATGGATTTGGGGGCTGAAGTCTGTATTTGACTCCTTCCCTGATTTGTAAGGCTCCATGGAAAAGACTCTGTGCTTTGGCCTGAATGTTTCTGTCCCTCAAATATTCATATGTTGAAATTCTAACTCCTAAGATGTTCATATTAGGAGGTGGGACCTTTAGTAGGTAATAAGGTCATGAGTGTAGAGCCCTGATTGTTGAGATTAGTGCCTGCTATGGTCTAAATATTTGTGCCCCCCGCCCCAACCTCCAAGTTTATATGTTGAAATGCCAGCCCTCAAGATGATGGTATTGGGAGGTGGGGCTTTGGGGATGATATTGAGAAGTGGGGTCTTTGTGAGACTTAACTCTCATAATTGGGATTAGTACCCTTATAAAAGAGAACCCAGAGAACTGCCTCCCTCTTTTCACCATGTGAAGACACAGTGAGAAGTCATCATTTATGAACCAGAAAATGAGCCTTCATGAGACATCGAATCTGCCAGAGCCTTGATCTTTAACTTCCCAGCCTCCAGAAGTGTGCGATGAAAATTTCTGTTGTTTATATGCTACCCAGTTTCAGGCATTTTGTGATAGGAACCCAAAGGGACTAAGGCAGTGCCCTTATAAGAAGAGAGATGTGAGAGCTGTCAGGCCTCTGAGCCCAAGCTAAGCTATCATATCCCCTGTGACCTGCACGTATACATCCAGATGGCCTGAAGCAACTGGAGATCCACAAAATAAGTGAAAATAGCCTTAACTGATGACATTCCACCATTGTGATTTGTTCCTGCCCCACCCTAACTGATATGATATATTCTTGCCCGCCCTTAAGAAGTTACTTTGTAATATTCTCACTGCCCTTGAGAATGTACTTTGTATGCCTATCCCAAACCTGTAAGAACTAATGATAATCCCACCACCCTTTGCTGACTCCTTTTTCGGACTCAGCCCACCTGCACCCAGGTGAAATAAACAGCCTTGTTGCTCACACAAAGCCTGTTGGTGGTCTCGTCACACGGATGCATGTGACAAGAGCTTGCTTCCTCTCCTTCTACTCTCCACCATGTGAGCGTAGAATGAAAAGATGGCAGTCACTGGATCCATAGGCACTTTGATCTTGGACTTCTCAGGCTCCAGAACTGTGATAAATAAATTTTAATTGTTTAAGCCACCCAGCCTATGATACTCAGCCAGTTATAGTAGCCCGAACTGGCTGAGACACCTCGAAAAACACTATTTGAAGTGGGGTGTCTTAGCATGCACCCTGTTTTTTGTTTTGTTTTGTTTTTTTGAGACAGAGTCTCGCTCTGTCGTACAGGCTGGAGTGCAGTGGCACGATTTCAGCTCACTGCAGCCTCTGCCTCTGAGGTTCAAGTGATTATCCTGCCTCAGCCTCCCCAGTAGCTGGGATTACAGGCATGTGCCACCATGCCTGGCTAATTTTTATTTTTAGTAGAGACGAGGTTTCACCATGTTGGCCAAGCTAGTTTCAAACTCCTGACCTCAGGTGATCTGCCTGTCTCGGCCTCCCAAAGTGCTGGGATTACAGGCGTAAGCCCACTCCCAGCCACACCTTGTTAAGCTAATTTAAAGTCTCCTTTTCTCCCTCCCTCCTTCTCTATCTCTTCTCCTTCCCTCTCTCCTTCTCCCTCTCTTTCTCTCTCACTCTTTCTTTTTCCATATAGCTCCAGTTTTATTTTAAAGCCCGAATACTTTCTCTCCAGGTTATTCTGAAAACATTTTTTCTTATTTTTCTCTTCATTAACTTTTCCTTTGGCACTCTATAAAAGCCGTGATCTTACTGAGTTCAGAACATTTTTCTGTATACTTTTTTTTTTTTTAAGACAGAGTTTCATTCTGTCACCCGGGCTGGAGTGCAGTGGCGTGATCTTGGCTTACCACAACATCTGCCTCCTGGGTTCAAGCGATTCTCCTGCCTCAGCCTCCTGAGTAGCTGGGATTACAGGTGTGCACCACCATGCCCGCCTAATTTTTGTATTTTTAGTAGAGATGGGGTTTCACCATGTTGGGCAGGCTGGTCTCAAACTCCTGAACTCATGATCTGCCTGCCTTGGCCTTCAAAATGCTGGGATTACAGGCATGAGCCACCACTCCCGGCCTCTCTGTATTACTTTCAACAAGCATTTACTGAGTACTTATGTTCCAGGCACTGGAAAAACAACCAAATGAACAAAAATTCCTGCCCCCATGGAATTCTCATTCAAGTGGGGCAAAACAGACAGTAAACAAAATAAATAAATAATGAAGTAGAAAGTCTTAAGTATTACAGAACAAAGTAAACTAGGAGGGTAAATAGAAAGCATGTGAGTGGGTGGTTTCAGCTATAAATTGTGTACCTTGAAGAAGGTGAACAGTGGGTAATATCTTGAGGATGAGCAGCTCAGGGACAAAGGCCCCTGGGTGACTATGCCTCTGGCATTTGGCATGTTGGAGGAACAGCAAAAGGCAGAGTGGATGAAGGGGTGTAAATAAAGCTGAGAGTAGGAAATGAGTTTGAAGAGACACAGAGAGGCCAATCTTGCAGGGCCTTGTAAACTGTTACAAGGACCTTGGCATTTGCTCTGAGAGAGAATGGGAGTCATTGGAGAGTTATGCTAACTACAAGCTCTGGTTTATATTCTTCAAGGATTACTTGGCTGCAGGGTGTGAAGAGACTGAAGCAGGGCAAAGGTGAAAGCGGGGAAACCTTTTGAAGAGGCCTTTACTTTAGGAAGTCCTTAACTCATAAACTTACCTCAGCCAATACATTGTTGGTCTCTTACTGTTTCCAGGCATTGGGTTAGGCATTAGGGAGATGATAGTCAAAAGACTCGGTAATTATTTTATTTGTTTCTGTCCACACCAAGACTTTTTTTGTTTTTTGGGTTTTTATGGTTTGTTTGTTTTGTTTTGTTTTTTTGCTAGTTTACCAGACTATATAAAAATGTGTGGCTTACAGTTGACATTCCTGTTATTCTACTTCCAGGGAATGGACATTTAACATTATCTATTCTTATTTTAATTAAGACATCTTTGAATACATTCAATTGCTCTGAAAAAATCTGCCCGTATCTCTAAGGCAATGCAATTTTCTGAAATTTTACCATGGTGTCTTATTGAGATTGCACAAGGTTATCTGCTCTAACAGTTTAGATAATATCATCCCAGAAAAAAGACATCCAGTTGCCGTACACATGGTTGCAAGGTGGTGATTCACTGATTAGCAAAACATATCAAGTTCCTGCTTGACACCCAGGGAAGGAGGTGTAACTTAGGGAAAACACTGCAAAACAGGAAGTCATCAGACTTAGGTTTGCATCCTCCTCAATTACTCAACTATTCACTGTGACTTTGAATTTACCACATGTAATCCTTACCTTCTTTGAGCCTTAGCTTCATCCTCTGTCAAATGGACATGGTAAGAGTTCCTGAGCCTCCTCTCTCGGGAATCTGAGGAGATGAAGTGAGCTGAAGCAGTGTGGGTCTGTGCTCTGTAAAGTACTCAGTGCAAGACTGCTGTCATTCTTTGCCAAATACCGCCAACCTCTGAGTGAAATTGTTCTTGGAATCTCCCAACTTCTTGAGCATTGTGTGTTGAGGTATAGGATTTCTTAAATGTTTTCTTACATGTCGGACTCCAGAATCTCTCTCCAATTTGATTCTGACATCAGTAAGAGTACTGACTCTGGTTTTCACTCCTGTCTAGTGATGAGGTTGAGTGGGTCTCTGCAGGGTTAGACCAGGCTATTCTAGCCAAGCTCACCAAATCGCTGAAAGGCCAGGAAAACCCTGGAGGGAGACACTAACACTGTTAACAATTCCTGTGGAGATCCTAAAAACTGCCTTCACAATTCTCTTATATGTCCATAATTTTCCCTGATGGAAACATGGTTTATATGTGCAGAAGACAAGGCCACATCAAGAGAGTGAGGTTTTTTGTTGTTGTCATTTTGTTTTGTTTTGTTTTTGACAGAATCTTGCTCTGTCACCCAGGCTGGAGTGCAGTGGTGCGATCTCGGCTCACTGCAACCTCCACCTCCCAGGTTCAAGCAATTCTCCTGCCTCAGCCTCCGGAGTAGCTGAGACTACAGGCACTCTTTATCATACCTGGCTAATTTTTGTATTTTTAGTAGAGAAAGGGTTTCACCATGTTGGCCAGGCTGGCCTTGATGTCATGATGTCAGGTGAGCCACCCACCTTGGCCTTCCAAAGTGTTGGGATTACAGGCATGAGCTACTGCACTCAGCCAATAGTGAGGTCTTTAACTGTGCTTCCACCAAGAAGAGGGACATGTACCAGTGAGCATTATCCTCCCCATTTGTTGCTGTAAAATTTTTGAGAATTGTTACTTTGTGCTATGCAGTGAATAGTAGTTTGATTCCTAGATACTGATCTCTATTTTTCCTGGCCTTTAGTCTCCTATAAGTCAAAAGAATCAAATTAATTAATCTAACAAGTGTTTATTAGGCACCCATTGGGAGCATATGATTATGTCATACTAGAGGTGATACCAGGAATTCTGGGATGCTGGTTTATAAGTGACTAGCTATTAATAAATTTCTTTTTCAGGTATCATAAGGAAGGAAGAATAAATTATGAAAATATTGTAGTATAAAAAAATGAACATATCTACTAGGAGGATTCATGAAGACTTATAAGCATTGATTCATGTAATTAAAATTATGATGACTATTTAAAGTCTGTTTAGAAGAAGTATATGTTGATTATTATATTGAAAGTATAAAATATTTTTAAATGATGCTAAAATGTTATTTGATAAAGTCTATATTAATATAAAGAAGACTTAGAATATATATGCTATAAGCCTGGTGCAGTGGCTCATACCTATAATCCCAGCACTTTGGGAGACTGAGGCAGGAGGATATCTTGAGCCCAAGAGTTCGAGATCAGCCCTGGTCAACATAACAAGACTCCATCTTTACTAAAATGCAATTTTTAAATAAATAAAATTTTAAAAATAAATAAGATAAAAAGTAATAATTTTTTAAAAGATTACATATGTTATGGACTGATTCTGTCTCCCTAAAACTCAATGTGTTGAAGACCTAACCCCCAGTAACTCAGAATGTGACTGTATTTGTAGATAGGGACTTTGAAGAGGTAAAAAGAGGTAATACGGTTGGTCCCTAATCCAATATGACTGGTGTCCTTATAACAAGAGAAAATTTGGACACACAGAAAAATACGAGGGGTAAGGGTGCTCTGAGGGATGGCCATATGAAGAGCATCCACAAGTCAAGGAGAGAGGTGTCAGGGGAAACCAGCCCTGCTGGCACCTTGATCTTGGACTTCAGAACTGTGAGAACAAATTTCAATTGTTAGAGCCACTCATTCTGTGGTATTTTGTTACAGCAGTCCTAGCAAACTAATACAATATAGCAAGAAAAAGCAGCAACTTGGATGACAAAAAATTAAGGTATTGAGGGTAACAAATGGAATGTGATTAAAGGAGAAAAAAACCCCGATATATATAATATGCTTATTCTGCTCACTAAGAAGTATACACATCTTGAAACCCAGTACCCAAGAATATATCAATATGTAAAGAGAGAATGTAATTAAAACGTTTTGATTGTTGAATTTAGAAAGTAGCTACATGGAACAATAAAGGTCATTAAGTATAACCCAGTTTCACAAAGGAGACTCAGAGAAGTTAAGCTATTTAAGCAGTGCCACTCAGCAAGCAAAGGGGAGGACTCGGGCCAGACTCCCTCATCTTCTGACTTTAGGTTCAGGGATGCTGCACTGAACAGCTTTTCTGCTGGTTTAAACTGTGCTACAGGTTTGTTCCAATTAGCATGATGGCACACTTTCATTTACTGGGGAGTTGTATTTAGCTTATGCCCATCTTTTGGAATCATTTTCACTGAAACAACAACAAAAGAAGCAATGAACCCTATCATAGCAGTTTTACTCTGTGTGGGTGGCTTTCTGAAGGGCTTTGTCTATTTGCACTGTAAGGAAATCAAACACATAAGCCAGATGATAGGAATACTTTTCACCTACAGGAATTTGCTTAACTATTCATATTAAAGGACTTCTTAAAGTGCAGAAACAAACACAGCTACACCCACTTTACTTATACCTTCAGCCTGCCTTACAAAGTGGATGAGGGTGAACCTTTGTTTGAAACAATTACTTAAATATGTGTGTGTGAGGGAGTAGGATTTGCAAATCAAATCACATAGTTCAGCTAAATATAGCCTTTGTCAGGAGAAATAACTTGTAAGCAAATAAAAACTAACAATTGGAATCCAGTGTAGACCACAATATGGAAATAATGTCTACTTCTCAGAGAATTTCAGACTATAACCATTGTACATCAATCCAGACAGACCCAGTGATGGATAACCCTTGCAAGAAATCACCACTGTAGAGAACAAAAGGAAGTACTGTTCTACTTCATAATGTGGTTTTGAAAAACGAAAAAAACAACGTAAACTTATTGAGCCTCAAGGACTTTGGGGTACAACCTAGAAACAAGAGAGTTTACTGTTTTGTGAAGGACCAAACCATACTTACTGAATCCAATATGACAGATAAAAAGTAGCTGACATTGTCTTTCTGGTCAAGGATAATATTGCTTATACAACTGCCTGTGTGGATGAATGTATATAAAGTATCCAGTGTGAACCCCAAATATCTGAGACAGGTCTCAGTCAATTTAGGATGTTTATTTTGCCAAAAAGTAAAGGACATACGCCTGTGATACAGCCTCAGGAGGTCCTGACGACATGTGCTCAAGGTGGTTGGGGCACAGCTTGGTTTTATACATTTTAGGAAGACATGAAACACCAATCAATATAGGCAAGGTATATGTTGGCTCCATCTGGAAAGGCAGGAAACTTGAAGTCGGTCAGGCGTTTCTAGGTCATAGGTAAGTAAGAGACAAACAGTTGCATTCTTCTGAGTTTCTTCTTTTTTTTCTTTTAAGAATTATTTTTATTTTTATTTCAATAGTTTTGGGGGTGCAGGTGGCTTTTGATTCCATGGATAAGTTCTCTAATGCTGGTTTCTGAGATTCTGGTTCACCCATCACCTGAGCAGTGTACCGTGTACCCATCTTTTGAGTTTCTAATTAGTCTTTCCAAAGGAGACCACACACATGCATTTATCTCAGTGAACAGAGGGATGACTTTGAGTTTTGTCTGTCCTTTGTCCAGAAGGAAATTTCTTGTGAGGGAGGTATGTGGCTTTTTTTTTTATTTTAGTGGCTATCTATTTTAGGCATGGATAATCTAGGAGGCAGGTTTGCCCTACGTAGTTCCCAGCTTGACTTTTCTCTTTGGCTAAGTGATTTGAGTGTCCCAGAATTTATTTTCCTTTCACTCCAATATGCATCCCATTTCACTTTATACCTTTTGTACTTATCAATGTTTCTAGGTAGGGGCAAATCCCCATTTTGTAAATCATGTTACTCTTGGCAGTCATGTTTTTTTCTTCAGATCCCAGTATCTTGCCTAAAGTTAACTCTATCTTTCAGTATTTTGAATTTAGTTCAAATAAAAAATTTTCTCAGCCGGGCGCAATGTCTCACGCCTATGGTGAAACCCCGTCTCTACTAAAAATACAAAAATTACCCGGGCATGGTGGCACATGCCTGTAATTCTAGCTACTTGGGAGGCTGAGGCAAGAGTGAAACTCTGTCTCAAAAAAAAAAAATTCTCAATTTTATGTACATATCTCTATCACTTATACCTGCATGCATTAGTACTGCTTGGTATTTTGCTATCTTTCTATGTGGATATTTGTATTTAATTTGCTCCTTATAAGTCATTTTGGATTTTTCATTGATATCAAACATTAAATATTGGCAGGGAAACACATAATACTATGATAAATTAATATTTTCACAAAACTCTGATAATCAATATTTTCCTGTTTGAAAATAAATGTTTTCAGTTTGGGCAGAAGAAAGTATCATAGGTCACCTGCTATGCTGGCTACACTGGCTGGGTTAGTCCATATATAATTGTGTATATTCTCATTAAACTACATTAACTGTGTGGCCAATAATTACAGCAGACCAACAAATGCAATATGAACTTTGAAATTCAAACATGTATGGGGTGCTTTCTAACTAAGTATAGTATTCTAAAGTTTTGTATTACTCTTTCAGAAAATATTTATTGAGCTCTCCCAGTCAGGTCATGATGAGAAGTTCTGGGTACTCAACAGTGAATAAATCATCTTTCTCTCATAGGTTTATATTTTAGTGTAGTACTAAGCAAACAAATAAGAAAATCAAAGTAAATAAAACAATAGCAAGTTTTAATAAGCTCTGTGACCTGAAGCTCATAGGGTTTGGATTTCATGCTCCATGGAAGACTTTTACACTGAAGAGTAACAAGATACAATTTAGATCTGAAGAAAGCCTCTCACTTGCTCTCCACTGTGGTATGAATGGTTTGGAGGCAAAAGAGTGGAGGCAGGCTATAGTCAGAGAGTTGTTCAGCAGTTGGGCACACAGCAAAGGTAACCTGAACTGAGCTGGCACAGAAGAGATGGAAAGAAGTGTGCAGATTATCCGGAATACAGAATCATCACAGCTTGATGATTGAATATTGTGGCTAGGGGATAAGAGACAGGAAGATATCAGAATGACTCTTAGCGGTCTGGCTTGAGTGTCCACATGGGTGGTGGAGTCATTTATTGAGGCAAGAGAGATTAAGGGACATGTTTTGATTGCAGTGGACATACTAGGATTGAGATTGCTGTGATATGCTATGTCCAACAGGAAGTTGAGTATGTGAACATGAAGTTCCCAGGAAATGTCATGGTGAGAGTAGAATTCATCAGCATATTCCTAGGAACTGATGAACTCACCATGGAAAAAGGATAGAGAGAGAAGCCAAAGGGTGAGGTGAAAACTAGCTTGGAAGTCTGTGGTTTCAAGGAGGAGGGGGTGGGTGGCATCCAGTGCTGCTGAGAGATGAGTACGATGAAGGCAAAGAGGGATCGTTGAACCTGAGAAGCATTTGAAAGTGGAGCCCAGCTGCCTGGGTTTGAATCCTGGCTTTCAAGCTTAGGAACAAAACAAATAGGCCTCCATGTGTCTCTGATTCTCCATTTAAAACATGAATGCCGGGCACGGTGGCTCATGCCTGTTATCCCAACAATTTGGGAGGCCAATGCAGGTGGATCACCTGAGGTCAGGAGTTCAACAGCAGCCTGACCAATATGATGAAACCTCGTATCTACTAAAAATACAAAAATTAGCTAGGCGTGGTGGCATGTGCCTGTAATCCCAGCCACTCGGGAGGCTGAAACAGGAGAATCGCTTGAACCCGGGAGGTGGAGGTTGCAGTGAGCCGAGATCGCATCATTGCACTCCAGCCTAGGCAACAAGAGCGAAACTCCATCTCAAAAAACAAACAAACAAACAAAAAAAGAAACAAAAAAACACTCACGAATAACAGTATTCCTTACCTCAATAGGCATTTTGCAAGGATTGAATAACTTTATACACCTAAAAGCCTTAGAAGTATGCCTGACGCATTTCATTCAACAAATATTCACTGAGCAGCCACTATGTGGCAGACACACTGCTAGGTGCTGGCATATTATCATGAACAAAAATCTCTGTCCACATCAGGAGAGGGAACTGGACAATAAGCAGGAAGAAGGGATAAGCATTGTGGAGAGAAATAAATACAGAAAGAGGAGGAGGAGAGCACAGGTGGGTGAATCATTTTAAATAGTGTTGGGGTGGCACGGAGTGAAACCTGCAGATATCTGGAATGAAGAGCAGCCCCACTGCGGGAAGAGGCAGGAGACTCTTTGGGAGGTAATTTCTAACTCCCCTTCTCTCAACTTCAGTGACCTGCTTGGCCAACAGTGTGTGATATGGTGACATTCTTAGACTTGGGATGCTAGCTCAGCAAAAGGCTGGCAGCTTCTATTCAGGCAACTTGGAAGTCAACTGCCATGTTAGAAGCCTAGCTATCCTGAGACTGCCAGGGCTATGAGGAAGCCCAAGCTAGCTATGTGGAGAAGGCACCTGGGGACACTGGAGGGGAGAGTGTTATAGATGGAGATGGCCGGGGGAGGGAGAGAGATGCCCACCAACCCCTAACTGTCCCTGCCATCCTAGCCCAGTCACCAAAAGTATGAGTAAAGAAGCCTTCGTGTGACTCCAGCCACAGACATGATTTGCCTACAACTTTACGAAGTATGGTGAACAAGGACTGCCTAGTTGAGCCCATTAGCCCCAGAACTGCAAAAGAAAGTAATAAATTGTTGTTTTAAAAAGCAACTAAAAAACAAAATTAAAAAACCCCACAAAGGACAGGGAAGCCTTTGTGCTACAGTGACCTAGGTCAGGAGGTGAGGAAATGTAAACCAAAAGGAAGTGTAAACCAAAAATTAAATTCTATGGCCCCCAACCATCTGAATGAACACCTCCTGTCAGCGACGGCATTCCAAACCTGAAAAATTGGTTCAGGCCAAGACAGGAAGGGAGGGTCAGACATGCCTCATTTTACCCTACTCCCTTTCGTAATTCATGAAAGATCAGCATTTAACATCAACACAGACCTTAAGTCTGATAAGAAACGTTTACAAGGGCTGGGCATGGTGTCTCACATCTGTAATCCCATCACTTTGGGAGGTTGAGGTGGGCAGATCACGAGGTCAGGTGTTTGAGACCAGCTTGGCCAATATGGTGAAACCCTGTCTTTACTAAAAATACAAAAATTAGCCACATGTGGTGGCACGTGCCTGTAGTCCCAGCTACTCTAGAGGCTGACCCAGGAGGTGGAAGTTGCAGTGAGCCAAGATCACACCACTGACTCCAGCCTGGGCAACACAGCAAGATTCTGTCTCAAAAAAGAAAACAAACGAACAAACAAACAAAAAATCATTTACAATCTATTATCTGAAGCCTGGTACCTGGACACTTCATCTGCATGATAAAATTTTGGTCACTACAACCCCTTATTATAACCCAGACATTCCTTTTTATTAACTCTTTCAACTAATTGCTAATCAGAACTTTTTAAAATTTACCTAAAACCTGGGGAGCCCCTCCTGCCCCTTCGATTTGTCCTACCTTTCCAGACTAAACCAATGTTACATCTTACATGTATTTGATTGATGTCTCATGTCTCCCTAAATGTATAAAACTAGGCTGCACCCCAACCACTTTGGGCACATTTTCTCAGGATCTCCTGAGGTCTGTCATGGGCCATTGGTCACTCATATTTGGCTCAGGATAAATCTCTTCAAATATTTTAAACAGTTTGACTCTTTTCATCAACAGAAGTCATATATTTTGCCATGGCCATTATTTGTTTTGGCAATAAGGAGACCTATACTAATTGGGCAGGTTCAGTAGGGTAGTGAGTGTGTAAGCAGATGGAAGGAGGCGGGAAAGAGAAGAAAATTTAGTTATGAAGGAGAGCAGCAAAATTTGATGAGGTTTATCATCCTGTTATTACCTTCTAATTTCTCATCAGCAACTGAGAGGAGAGGAGCCCAGGAATGGAGAGGATTTGAAGACCAAGATCAGAGATAAGGGAGGGTTTTGGGGGGCAAGATTGTTTGTTTTTTAGCAAAGAGTCACTAGGACAAGTTCTTATACTAACGGAAATAAGCTGGTAGAAAGGGAAAGGCTTGTGAGGACAGAGATAGGGCAGTTAATGAAGGAACAGCATTCCTGTGAAGGAGAGAGGGAATGGAATCCAGGCACACGAGGAGGGGTTGGCCTTTCACAAGGTCAGAAGGAAGAAGGAGAGGCTGGGAGTCCCTGCATGGAGTCTGAAGGTCAGGTGGGGAAATTTACCCAGAGGAGGGAATTCTGTGAGTGATGTATGAGGTACGCTCAGCAGCTGACAGTGAAGGAAGGGTGAGGAAGGTTTAAAAAGAGAAGGTCTGAAAGGCTTTTCTTGGGAGTTTGAGAGACAACATTCTACAGAAACCCAGAAGAAATTTTAGGGTCCTATTGATTACCTATTTGAGGTTTCAGATAATAAGATTAAAATGAAATAAGTCAATATAGCTTACTCGATTTCCTTTGATAACTCCCCTCCTCCACTAAGCCAGTTTCCACCCATAGTTATTCATGCATAACTATGATAAAAATCATAGAGGGGAAGAATTTAACCTATGGAGACAATAAAGCAAAACAAAACACAAAATAAAAAAAAAAAGTAAGACCTCTTAAATTGTTGATTTTGTTTTCATAGAACACACTATGTATATCATTTATCCACACCCTTCATGAACATTAATTATAAGGAACTTTAGTATTTAATCAGTATCAGACTTTGTTTGGATAACTTGAGGAATGTTACCATATGTCTTGTAAAGATGGTGACATTAAAAAAAACACAGTCAAAACTACAATATAGCTGTTGTTTCTTGACATTCCAGCAATGAGAACTCTTTTTTTTTTTCTTTTGAGATGGAGTTGCGCTCTTTTTGCCCAGGCTGGAGTGCAATGGCGTGATCTCCGCTCACTGTAACCTCCGCCTCCTGGGTTCAAGCGATTCTCCTGCCTCAGCCTAGTAGCTGGATTACAGGCGCCTGCCACCACACCTGACTAATTTCTTTTGTATTTTTAGTAGAGACGGGGTTTTGCCACGTTGGCCAGGCTGGTCTAGAACTCCTGACCTCAGGTGGTCCGCCCGCCTCAGCCTCCCAAAGTGCTGGGATTACAGGTAGGAGCCACCATGCCCGGCCCTAAGAACTCTTGATAAACTGATATGTGTGCCTCCCAATAGCACAATAATAATGGAGACATTCAATACCAACTGTGGAGCTTTAAGAGCTTTTGCAGGGCTGTTAGAATCAGAGAAAGTATAAGGTACTCCAAGGTGGTTTTGTCCTCATTTTGTCACATTTACATTTAGAAAATGCTTATAAATTTTTAGATGAATCAGCACATCCAGTTTCCACACAATTCCATATAACAAAGAGTTTACAGCATTTTACTGACATTTTCAAAGAAGATACAGAACAATCACATTGGGATGCGAGGGGGTCAGAAATTGGTGAGACTGTTTTTCCTGGCTGAAAAGAGAAAGGGCCTCAAACTCATAAATTAGCAACAATTATGCTTTTGTGCTATGTCACTAGATTCCGTTAGATGTCTATCTTTGTAACTTTCTTACAGACTAATTCCTCACTGCTAGCAAATTTTTAGCCATGTAACCCAGAGTTATAAAGGAAGGCATTTTTTTTTCATTGCTATTCTTAAACACCGCCCCCCTTCTTTTATAACAAAAACTGAAGTAAATATAGTATGTGTTCTGGAGCTTCATTTTCTAAGGCTGGCTATCCTCGATAGGATTGGATGAACAGGGTAGGTATTGGAGTTAGGTGGAACCGGGGGCAACAGAACTGGCACCAGAAGTAAGGCTGAAGTGAAGCCCAGCATTCTAAGGGTGTAGCTAGCTTACCTGTGGTTGAAGCCAGACACTGCTCTGGGATTCTGATATGGTTAGGCTTTGCGTCCCCTCAAAATCTTATCTTGAATTATAATCCCCGTAATCTCCATGTGTCAAGGGAGGGACCCAGTGAAGGTAATTGAATCATGGGGGCGGTTTCCCCCATGCTGTTCTCTTGATAGTGAGTGATTTCCCATGAGATCTGATGGTTTTATAAGAGGCTCTTTCTCCTTTGCTAGGCACTTCTCCTTCCTGCCACCCTGTGAACAATGTGCCTTGCTTCCCCTTTGCCTTCTGCCATGATTATAAGTTTCTCCAGCCATGCTGAACTGTAAGTCAGCTAAATCTCTTTCCTTTATAAATTACCCAGTCTTTCACAGTTCTTTACACAGTATGAAAATGGACCAATATGGGTTTCCACCAGGAGCTTGGAGTCCAGTGGATACTTCGGACTTTTGCTCATATAGTAGTTCCCCCATAACCAGAAGGGATTCTAAGAACACCAGTGGGTGCCTGAAATCTCAGATGGTACCAAACCCAGTTGCTGTAAATCAGAACACATTTCTGTTAATGTCTTCCAATGACAAATGTAATGACTTTTGCATCTTAACCAAGCACTTATTATGCACTGTGGCTATAACTTTTGCAGTTTGAAGTACAACAGCACAAATTTATTTTTTGTTCTTCACAGTTTAATGGATAGAAGATTTGCTCTTACAATAAATCTTAGCAATCTCAGAACATTTTATATATATATATATATATTTATTAATGAATACTTACAGGAAACATTTTTTAGCTCCTCTTATATTTGAATTGCTAGCATCACTGCTCTTGTAGTTTGGGGCCGTTAGCATGTAAAATAAGGATTACTGGAACACAAGCACTGGGATACCATGACAGATGATCTGATAAGAGATCCTGTTACTAAGTAATTAGGGAGCCAGTCAAGTGTAACTGTGAATATGCTGGACAAAAGAATAATTCACAAGAAGGACTGGCCAGAAAAGTGGGTCAGTAGCTCTTCTCACTGTGGGTGAGAGTGGAAGCTGAAACCAGAACTCCAGATTAGAAAAATTACAGCGTAGAAACCACAGCAGAAGACAAGTCTATGACTGGTCAAGATACGTAGTGAGGAAGATTGGAACTGAGGGATCACATTGACCTTCCTGACTAGCTCTGCCAGTTCCAGGTCCTTGTCTGACTGGCATTGAAGGAAACATGAGGAGCAAAGAACAAGCCCAGAAAGTTTCTAGATGATTATATTTCTCCTATACCAAATCACAAAGATTGTCAGAGTGAATGCAAAGCAATCCCCTAAGTTCTTAATCAATGTATTTATTGATATGGTTTCCTTTTGTAGCAAGATACTAATAAATACATTAAGAACCTATTATAGTCTAGTGGCCAGGCACTGTGGCTCATGCCTGTAATCCCAGCACTTTGAAAGGCTGAGGCGGGTGGATCACTTGAGGTCAGGAGTTTGAAATCAGCCTGGCCAACATGGTGAAAACCCACCTCTACTAAAAATACAAAAATTAGCTGGGTGTGATGGGGTGTGCCTGTAGTCCCAGCTGCTCGGGAGGCTGAGGCAGGAGAGTCACTTAAACCCCGAGGTTGAAGTGAGCTGAGACTGCACCACTGCACTCCAGCCTGGGTGACAGAGCAAGACTTCCTCTCGAAAAAAAAAGAAGAGAACCTATTATAGTCTAGAAACTTTAAGTAGCATGATTTCTTTAAATCCTAGGTACAATAATCTCTTGGTATTCATGGGGGATTTGTTCCAGGACCTCTGTTGGATATCAGAATCTGCCGATGCTCAAGTCTCTTATACAAAATGACACAATATTTGCATATAACCTACACATATTCTCTCGTACTTTAAACCATCTCTAGATTACTTATAATACCTAATACAATGCCTATACATCACTTCATTCCCATGGATTCATTGTAGTACTTGGTATGAGGTAAACTCAAGTTTTGCTTTCTGGAACTTTGTGGAATTCTTTTTTTCCCAAATATTGTCAATCTGTGGTTGGTTGAATCCACAGATGGCAAACCCACAAATATGGAGGACAAACTGTACGTTACTTTCATTTTATAGAATATAAAACTGAGGTTCATAGAGGTGAAAAGAATGCCCAAGGTGATAAGGTAAATTGTGAAGCCAGGATTCAGAGCCATGGCAAAAGGCAGTGATTTTTGCACCATGCTCTGTAGACACTTTTATTTGGTAGCTTTTGCTGATCTGTTTTTTCCCTTCCACCCAGCGTGCCTATTAATATAGCTTATTTAATTTGTAAGAATTACTTTTAAGTTGTTTTGATATTCTTTGGACTGCAATGAGAGCTAGGATGTCCTTGAGACAGAATATCCTCTTGTGCTTTTAGCCTCATGGAAACCAGTACCCAAAGCATGTGGCTGAGACCCTGGGGTTGACTCCACACTGCACTTCAGAGTGGTTGACAAATTGCTCATAGCTGTCTGGGGTTAAAGAACTCATCTCTGAGAACACAAGCTTTTTCATTCCCTTTTTAAAAAAGACAAGTGTGCCTTCTTTTATTCTGCACTTCTAATGATTGCTTTACTTTGAAATGGTCCCTGCACTTGTTATTTTGTCTCACTAGTATCTTCACTCTTGCACTCCTCTCAGACTTAACTTCCATTTTTAACCATGACAGAATAGCTTCTTATTCCATCTAAGCCTTTTCAGATGACACAGGAAGAGATATCATTATATCTCTGTTGAAGAGAGATATACACTACTGCTTAGAAATACTTCTTGATTATTGCATTTAATTGGAGTGGGTGGCCTATTAATACTGATGGAGGAAGAAAATGAATCCTGCATTTAATATGAAAATGTATTATGAAGTGCTTAATGCAGATTACTTATCTAATGATTGAGGTTAACTGATGTCAGTGGTTTTCAGACTGTTGACAGCAGAAATTAAAAAGAAAGCTACCACATATATGGAAATATATTTAGTAAATAAAGGGAGTTTTGAAGGTCACTCTCTGTGTTAGTCAATTTTCATACTGTTATAAAGAACTGCCTGAGACTGGGTAATTTATTTAAAAAAAGTGGTTTAATTGACTCATAGTTCAGCATGGCTGAGGAGGCATCAGGAAACTTACTATCATGGCAGAAGGCAAAGTGGAAGCAAGGTACCTTCTTCACAAGGCAGCAGGAAGGAGAAGTGTCTAGTGAAGGAGAAACAGCCCCTTATAAAACCATCAGATCTTGTGAGAACTCACTCACCATCACCAGAACAACATAGGGAAAACTGTCCCCATGATTCAATTACGTCCACCTGGTCTCTCCCTTGACACGTGGGGATTATGGGGATTACAATTAAATATGAGATTTGGTTGGAAATACAAAGCCTAACCATATCATTCTGCCCTGACCCCTCCAAAATCTCATGTCCTTTTCACATTTCAAAACTAATCATGCCTTCCCAACAGTCTTCCAAAGTCTTACCCGTTCCAGCATTAACTAAAAAGTCCAAGTCCAAAGTCTCATCTGAGACAAGGCAAGTCCCTTCCACCTATGAGCTGGTAAAATCAAAAGCAAGTTAGTTACTTCCTAGATACACTGGGGGCACAGCCATTGGATAAATACACCCATTTAAATGGGATAAATTGGCCAAAACAAAGGGGCTACAGGCCCCATTCAAGTCTGAAATCCAGTGGGGAAGTCAAATCTTAAAGCTCCAAAATAGTCTTCTTTGACTTCATGTCTCACATCCTGGTCACACTGATGTGAAAGATGGGCTCCCACAACTTTGGGCAGCTCCACCCCTGTGGCTGGGTACAAGCCCCAGCCCTAGCTGTTTTCATGGCTGGTGTTGAGTGTCTGTGGCTTTTCCAGGCACACAGTGCAAGCTGTCAGTGGATCTACCATTCTGGGGTCTGGAGGATGGTGGCCCTCTTCTCACCACTCCACTAAGCAGTGCCCCAGTGGGGACTCTGACCCCACATTTCCCTTCCACAATGCCCTAGCAGAGGTTCTCCATGAGGGCTTCACCCCTGTATCACACCTCTACCTGGAAATCCAGGCATTTCCATACATCCTCTGAAATCTAGGCAGAGGTTCCCAAAACTCAATTTTTGACTTCTGTGCACCCACAGGCCCAATATCATTTGTAAGCTGGCAAGACTTGGGGCTTGCACCCTCTGAAGCAATGGCCTGAGCTTTATGTTGGCCCCTTTTAGCTACAGCTTGGACACAGGGAACCAAGTCTCAAGACTGCACAAAGCAGCAAGTCCCTGGGCCTGGCCCATGAAATCACTTTTTACTCCTGAGCCTCCTGGCCTGTGACGAGAGGGGCTACAGTGAAGATCTGTCCTGGAAACATTTTCCCCATTGTATTGGCCATGAACATTTGGCTCCTTGTTACTCATGCAAATTTCTGCAGTGGCTTGGATTTCTCCTCAGATTTTTTTTTCTATAGTATCATCACACTTCAAATTTCTCAACCTTTTATGCTCTGCTTCCCTTTGCTGAGACCAGCTCGGTTGGGGAGACCCTAACCCAGCAGCACTAGAGGAATTAAAGACACACACACATAGAAATATAGAGGTATGAAGTGGGAAATCAGGGATCTCACAGCCTTCAGAGCTGAGAGCCCCGAACAGAGATTTACCCACATATTTATTAATGGCAAACCAGTCACTAACATTGTTTCTATAGATATTAAATTAACTAAAAGTATCCCTTATGGGAAAAGAAGGGATGGGCCGAATTAAAGGAATAGGTTGGGCTAGTTAACTGTAGCAGGAGCACGTCCTTAAGGCACAGATCGCTCATGCTATTGTTTGTGGCTTAAGAATGCCTTTAAGCGGTTTTCTGCCCTGGGCGGGCCAGGTGTTCCTTGCCCTCATTCCAGTAAACCCAAAACCTTCCAGCGTGGGTGTTAGGGCCATTATGAACATGTTACAGTGCTGCAGAGATTTTGTTTATTGCCAGTTTTGAGGCCAGTTTATGGCCAGATTTTGGGGGGCCTGCTCTCAACACCCTTTTAAATATAAGTTCCAATTCCAAACCATCTCTTTGTGAATGCATAAAACTGGACACTTTTAAGAGCACCCAAGTCAGCTGGGCACGGTGGCTCATGCCTGTAATCCCAGCATTTTGGGAGGCTGAGGGGGGTGGATTGGTTGAGGCCAGGAGTACAAGGCCAGCCTAGCCAATGTGATGAAACCTTGTCTCTACTGAGAATACAAAAATTAGCTGGGTGTGGTAGCAGGTGCCTGTAATCCTAGCTACTCAGGAGACTGAGGCAGGAGAATTGCTTGAACCTGGGAGACAGAGGTTGCAGTGAGCTGAGATGGCACCACTGCACTTCAGCCTGGGCAACAGAGCAAAACTCCAAAAAAAAAAAAAAAAAAAAAAAGAGGACCCAAGTCACCTCTTGAATGCTTTGCTGCTTAGAAATTTCTTCTGCCAGTTACCTTAAATCATCTCTCTCAAATTTAAAGTTCCACAGATCTACAGGGCAGGGACAAAATGCTGCCAGTCTCTTTGCTATAGCATAGCAAGAGTCACTTTTGCTCCACTTCCCAACAAGTTCCTCATCTCCATCTGAGACCACTTCAGCCTGGACTTCATTGTCCATATTACTAACAGCATTTTGGTCAAAGCCCTTCAACAAGTCTCTAGGAAGTTCCAAACTTTCCCACATGTTCCTGTCTTCCTTTGAGCCCTCCAAACTCTTCCAACCTCTGCCTGTTACTCAGTTCCAAAGTTGCATCCACATTTTCAAGTATCTTTAAAGCTATGCTCCACTTTCTTGGTACCAATTTACTGTATTATTTTGTTTTCATACTCCTATAAAGAACTGCCTGAGACTGGGTAATTTATAAAGGAAAGAGGTTTAAAATATTGACTCACAGTTCAGCATGGCTGGTGAAGCCTCAGGAAACTTACAATCATGGCGGAAGATGGAGGCAAAGCAAGGTACCTTCTTCACAAGGCAACAGGAAGGACAAGTGCCAAGTGAAGGATGAAGAGCCCCTTTTAAAACCATCAGATTTCATGAGAACTCATTCACTATCATGAGAATAGCATGGGCGAAACTTCCCCCATGATTCAATTAACTCTATCTGGTCTCTTCCTTGACACATAAAAATTATGGGGATTATAATTTAAGATTAGATTTGGGTGGGGACACAAAGCCTAACCATATCACTATCTCTAATGAACAAATATACGAGATTCTAATTTTTTCTTCACCCAAGTGCTTACAGCAACCTTGAAATGCCATTCATGTGGATATCAATTTACTAAAACAGTATCTAAAAGCTTATTAAATAAAAATTTATTATTTTAACATTATTTCTTTAATTTCTCAAAAATTTGCTGCTATAGGAACCCAAATTTCATTTTTCTTAGAGACAGTTATTATAAAATATCTAGTTTCTAATTCATTCATGCTATATAAAGGCCACCGAGTCAGAATTTATAATTTTTCTGGCCTGCAACTGGGTGCTCTTTAAGGAAGTAATTGCTAAGAAACCATGTGACAATAATTGGACTATTTTATGTCATATTGTGAATTTCCAAAATATTCAACAATTTGTTTAAATGGGTGCTAAAATAATATATTGTTTGAACTGCACCCGGTATTCCCATTCTACTCCTGTGTAGAAGTTTTTAAGAAGCCAAGGATTTCTATATAAACATAGTTTTAAACATTTTAGCAGGTTACAATAATTGTAATCATGCTGTGATAATATAGTATAATTATAGGCAAAATAATCTGCATCTGTGAAGAGGTCAAAGTAGCACTGTACAATGTAAATATAGTGTTAGCTACTTTTGAGATTCAAAATGTTTTAGTAGCCTCATTAAAAAAGATAAAGAAACATAAAGTTAACTTAAATAACATTTTCTCTAACCCAATATATACATAATATTGTCACTTCAACATGCAATCAATATTAAAAATTATTAAGAATTTATTTTTTGAACTAAATCTTTGAAAATTTTTATGTATTTTATACTTATGGTACTTCTTGAATTGGGCTGGCCATACTTCAGGGACTAAATAGCTACAAGCGGCTACTGTTTTGATCAGCCCAAAGTTATGCTAATAGTGAGGAAATCTGTTAAAAGGAAGTGAGAACAGTTACACAGAGGTTGCCGTATATTAAGCAATATTCTCAGTATATTCAGCTCTGTTTTCTTTTCTCTCTTTCTCTTTTTAACAGCATGGTAAGGAAGAATTTATTCAAGACCATTGCCATAGGTGTAGGGACCACTGCAATGAGGGCTTGCAGTCGGGGAGAGCAATTAGGCTCAACTCTGAATAGAGCAGGAACGAGTAGGAATTCACAGGCAAGGAACTGTGTGGGGGTCCGTGGATAGAAAATTACTAAGAGGAAACATCAGAAGTAAGGTGGATTCTGGCTAAACTTGCCTAACAGGGCTCTTGCGTAAGACAAGCCGGGGGGATCAGACATCACCTGGGAGATGGTGGAGGATGATGAACCTGATCAGATATGGAGGTTGAGGGTTCTTGCTAAACAGACTCAGCAGGGTTTTTTGCTAAAACTGGACTTTACAATGAAGTGCATTGAAGGAGCTAACAGAAGATTAAGAAGCTGGACTAAAGTTTTGCCAAGTAAAAAATCTTTCCCTTTTGTAAAATGTGTACTGCTGGGACCATGCTGGGCCTCAGCATCTTCCTACACCTTTGGCTTCCAGGAGAGTGTTGTGTCCAGTGACTCCTGGGCATTTTCTTGATTGATACTTTCTAAAAGACAAAAACCCTACACCTTACCTAGGGTCAATTCATTGTCAGACTTTTAAGCCTAAATTTTGTGACAATACTTCAGTGACAATCTCAGGTATTAAAAAAATAAGATTCATTCATTCACCAATTCTAAAGACACACATAAAACATTCTTTTGAAAAATGTGAGATCATGAAAAGGAAATGGAACCATATAATTATTTAAGCATCCCCAAACCCCTACATAATCTGTCCAAAACCAAAACCAGGGAAATCTTCTCAATATAAACTTTGGATCCTGCTAAATCACTGACTCCGCTCTCGTGGTTTATGCTTGTTTTTCCTGCGTCCTCTTTTCCTCCCCTCTCCCCGCCCTACAGCATTTGCTGCTTCCCTGTCTTGGTTTACTGTCCTCAAGTCAGACCTGTACCTATGGTCCCAAGCACTTCCAAACTTTCTCCTCAAATCCAGAAGATCCACTGAGGAACCTAGGTCCTACTTTTGAGAGCTAACCCCTGCTCTGAAAGAGGAAACTCATATTTCTTTGGGACCACTGCTAAAATGACAAACTAACATGTAAGAGTCCAGTATAGAATACACAGTTTTCACCCAAAGAAAGAATAATTGCTTCTTTTTTCTTTTTGAGACAGGGTCTTGCTCTGTCACCCAGGCTGGAGTGCAGTGGCACAATCATGGCTCACTGCAGCCTTGACCTTCCAGGCTCAAGAAATCCTTCCTCCTCAAGCAAGCAATCCTCCCACCTCAGCCTCCTCCTGAGTAGCTGGGACTACAGGTGCGCACCACCACACCTGGCTGATTTAAAAAATTATTTTTGTGAGTTGGGGTCTCATTATGTTGCTCAGGCTGGTCTCGAACTCCTGGGTTCAAGTGATCCTAATTGCTTCTTTTAATTGCTTCATTTTATATTCACAGTTATCCTCTATTCAGGTGGTGTTTTCCTACTCTAAAAGGAGAAATCAGGCAGATGGCAGTTCTGTTTTATTCTATTCCATAAATATTTCTTGAACAACTGCTAAATTAGAGACAAACTTTTGGGGCTATGAGGATTATATTAGGGGTCTACAGAGAAACAGGACCAATAGGACATGAATAGATATAGAGAAAAAAATTTATTATGAGACTGGCTCACGGGATATGAAAGCTAAGTCCCACGATTTGTCATCTGCAAATTGAAGAACAGGAAATACTTCTGATCCAAGCCCAAAGACCTGAGAACCAGGGGAGCCATAAGTCCAAGTCCCAGTCAGAGTCTGAAGGCCTGAGAATCAGGAGCACTAACGTTCAAGGGAATGAGAAGGTGAATGTCCCAGCTTCCAAAGAGAGAAAATTCACTCTTCCTTTGTCTTTTTTTTGAGACAGAGTCTCACTCTGTCGCCCAGGCTGGAGTGCAGTGGCGCAATCTCGGCTCACTGCAAGCTCCGCCTCACGAGTTCACGCCATTCTCCTGCCTCAGCCTCCCTAGTAGCTGGGACCACAGGCACCTGCCACCATGCCCGGCTAATTTTTTGTATTTTTTTTAAGTAGAGACAGGGTTTCACCATGTTAGCCAGGATGGTCTCGATCTCCTGACCTTGTGATCCACCCACCGTGGCCTTCCAAAGTGTTGGGATTACAGGCGTGAGCCAATGCGCCTGGCCGTCCTTTTGTTTTATTTGGGCCCTCAAGAGATGCCCACCCACATTGGTAAGGGTGAATTTTCTTACTTAAACTACTTATTCAAATTTTAATTTCTTTCTTTTCTTTTTTTTTTTTTTGAGAAGGAGTCTTGCTCTGTCACCCAGGCTGGGGTGCAGTGGCGCAATCTTGGCTCACTGCAACCTCTGCCTCCCGGGTTCAAGCAATTCTCCTGCCTCAGCCTCCTGAGTAGCTGGGACAACAGGCACATGCCACCACACCCGGCTAATATTTGTATTTTTAGTAGAGGCGGGGTTTCACCATGTTGGCTAGGATGGTCTCGATCTCTTGACCTCGTGATCCGCCCGTCTCGGCCTCCCAAAGTGCTGGGATTACAAGCCTGAGCCACAGTGCCCCGCCTCAAATGCTGATTTCTTCCAGAAATACCCTCACATACACACCCGGAAATAATGTTTTACCGGCTATCTGCTTAGCCCATCCCTTAGTCCAGTCAAGTTGACACATTAAATCAACCATCACGAAGACTAACAAACAAACAAACAAAGAAAACCAGTTTCTGCCCTCAAGGAATCTGCTATCCAGTGATACATAGAATTACTATATATATTTACCATGCAATGGATATGTGTCAGGCATAGTGCTGGGCAATTTAAATTTAATTCTTCCCTCATTGTGAAAAAGACTATTTAGAATTTTTACATGCAAAACTTCTGTGTAATGTAGAGCCAAAAATAAAATATTTTTGAGCCATATGTTTGCTCATATATATGGCAGGAGTGATGATGAATTTAAATATACTTTACAAATATCTAAAATGTAGATCAGAATATTATTACATCCAGCTTTTCAAGTATCCTTAAATGTTTTATAATTTATTTATAAGTTCATTTATGTATTTATTAGGAAATTCTCATCAAATTGCAGTAGTGTAGCATATGGTAGGCACTGACTCAAAATGCATCAAATCAGTGAAATATTGCTTTCTGGAAACACTGTTAATTACCATGAGGAACAAAATAACTGGATATGGATTTCATTTTCAAGATATTTGCATATTTAGAAAAAAATGAAACATGTAAACAACTGAATATTGCAAAGTAGGAGACCACAGGTGTTATGAAACAGGAAGGTGCTATAAGAGTTCATTAGAGGATGCAATGGACTGAATGTTTGTGTCCCCTCAAAAGTCATATGTTGACTAATCCCAAGGTAATGATGTTTGGAGGTGGGGCTTTTAGGAGGTAATTAGGCCTTGAAAGTGGAACCAGTAGAGGCAATACTAAGAAGAGGCCAGAGAGCTAGCTAGCTCCCTGTGTTTTCCATGTAAGTATCCATGGAGAAGTCGGCAGTCTGCAAGCCAGAACTCATCATCCTGATCTTGGACTTCTAACCCCTAGAACCATGAGAAATAAATGTTTATTGTTTAAGTCACACACACAGACTATGGGATATTTTTTAGAGCAGCCCAAACTGACTAAGACAGAGAGAAAGAAAGCAGTTGAGAAATCAGTGTTATGCTTTAGTTTCCAAAAATATCCTGACCTTTTGTTTAAAAAGGTGCAAAAAATAAATTTATTATTTGAACCACTTCAGACATCTACCATCGCTTTCTTCCCCTGAATGAGCCTTGTCCTCCTATGCACCTTTTCCCAAAAAGATGCCTGCATACAGGGGGAGAAAGGGCTTATATGATCTCTTGATAATGGGAAAAAGCAAGCTGTTATGAACTGAACTCTTTTGCCCTCAAATTCATATGTTGAAGCCCTAACTCTCAATGTGACTGTATTTGGGAGATGGGGCCTTTACAGAGGTAATTAAGGTTAAATGAGGTGGTAAGGGTGGTAGTTTAATCTGATAGGACTAATGTCCTTATAAGAAGTGAAAGAGAAGGCCCGGCATGGTGGCTCACGCGTGTAATCTCAGCACTTTGGGAGGCCGAGGTGGGTGGATCACCTGAGGTCAGGAGTTTGAGACCAGCCTGGCCAACATGGCAAAACTCTGTCTCTACTAAAAATACAAAAATTAGCCAGGCATGGTGGTGTGTGCCTGTAATCCCAGCTACTAGGGAGGCTGAGGCAGAAGAATCACTTGAACCTGGGAGGCAGAGGTTGCAGCGAGCCAAGATCATGACATTGCACTCCAGCCTGGGCAACACAGTGAGATTCCGTCTCAAAAAAAAAAAAAAAAGAAGTGAAAGAGACACCAGAGATCTCTCTCACCACACACTCACAAAGAAGAATCATGGAAAAACACAGTGAGAAGGCAGCTGTTTATAAACCAAGAAGAGAGTCCTCATCAGGAACCAACACTGACGGTACTTTAATCTTGGACTTCTAGCCTCCACAGCTATGAGAAAATAACTTTCTGTGATATAATCTGCTCAGTCTTTGGTATTTTGTTACGACAGCTCTAGCAGACTAACATAGAGGCCCAGACTGGTAATAACTGTATTGGTTTATTTTTCTGGAGTGATGGTAAAGGATGGTGGGTAGGTTGGGCAGCAATCTTTGACTCCTGGAAACATTGATGGGTAGAATCTAACAGTTATTGTATTTAGACTTCTTTTCTCTATAGATTTTCCTTCAATAACAACAAGTGTTGCATTTTCAAAACTGCTATCCCAAGAAAGAGAGGAAGAAAAGGAAAGCACAAGCTAGTAAAAGAAAGAGGAGAAGAGAAAGGGAAGCTGATAAAAGCGTTATTCTTGATGTATAATGACTTAGACAAAAGATGTATAGCAACACAGATATATATCTAGTATATATAGTAGACATGATAAATATTTGTTAATGAATGAAACCTAGAGTCTTGGAACATACCGAGACAATTCAAACTATCCTTCAAGTAAAGCATTTATAAATACTAAATCTCTTTAGTAGTGACATGTATTGAGTGTTTACTATATGCTGGAACTTGGGTCAAATATTTTACGTTTCTGTTTGTTAAATTTTTACAAGAAGCTCATAAGTGAGTTATAATTAGCATTCCATTTGCAGATGAGGCTTAGAGATGTGTAGACATTCATCCAATGTCACAGTACTCAGTGATAGAGCTAGGACTTACATCTATAGCTGTCTGACTTGAAGTCTGAGGTCTGAGCCACTGCAATATTTATTTTTCAAGAAACATGCAGAAATGAGGAATATACTGGTGATCTAATCCTTCTTCTTCAAACAAGGTGGCAACATTTGGCATATTACCCATTAATTCTCCATTCCATGACTTAAGCTGAGTATTTTTGATATATTTGGTTAATTATGATATTTATATGGTTTGGCTGTGTCCCCCGCAAATCTCATCTTGAATTGTAGTTTCCATAATCACCACATGTCATGGGAGGGACCCAGTTGGAGGTAATTGAATCATGGGGCAGTTACATCCATGCTGTTCTTGTGATAGTGAGTGAGTGCTCATGAGATCTGATGGTTTTATAAGAAGATTTCCCCTGACTTCTCTCTCTACTTCTCTTTGCTGCTGCCATATGAAGAAAGACGTGTTTGCCTCCCCTCTGCCATGATTGTAAGTTTCCTGAGGCCTCCCCAGCTGTGCAGAACTGTGAGTCAAGTAAATCTCTTTCCTTTATAAATTACCCAGTCTTGGGTATGTCTTTATTAGCAGTGTGTGAATGGACTAATACAGTAAATTGGTACCACAGAGAGTGGGGAGCTGCTGTAAAAATACCCAAAAATGTGGAAGTGATTTTGGAACGGGGTAACAGGAAGAGGCTGGAATGATTTGGAGGGCTTAGAAGAAGACAGGAAAATGTGGGAAATTTTGGAACTTCCTAGAGACTTGTTGAATGGTTTTGACCAAAATGCTGACAGTGATATGGACAATGAAGTCCAGGCTGAGGTGGTCTCAGATGTGGATGAGAAACTTCTTGGGAACTGGAGCAAAGGTGGCTCTTATTATGCTTTAGCAAAGAGATGGGTAGCATTTTGCCCCTGCCCTAGAGATCTGTGGAACTTTGAACTTGAGAGGGATGATTTAGGGTATCTGGCAGAAGAAATTTCTAAGTGGCAAAGTATTCAAGAGGAAGCAGAACTTAAAAGTTTTGAAAATTTGCAGCCCAATGACAAAGCAACAGAAAAGAACAACTCATTTTCTGGAGAGAAATTCAAGCCTGCTCTAGAAATTTGCATAAGTAACAAGGAGCCAAATGTTAATCACCAAGACAATGGGGAAGATGTCTCCAGGTCATGTCAGAGACTTTCATGGCAGCCCCTCCCATCAAAGACCCAGAGGTCTAGGAGAAAAAATGGTTTCATGGGCCAGGCCCAGGGCCCCCACCACTGCTGTGTGCAGCCTAGGGACCAATACAGATATTTAGTGGTCAATGTTTCTTTTCTCTTTTCAGAAGTACATTCTAAAAGAATTATAATTAAAAATTAATTATATGAAAAATATTTCATAAGTGTTGGAGCTACAAAGCAAAATAAATAAATAAATAAACCTGACAATAAGAAATCTCATAGGGTCTTTTTCAGGCTTAACTGTTTTATCAGAGGACATGTGGAAAAATATTTTAAAACTCCAATGCTGAGTGTAATAACTTACTTATTTATCAATAGAGATTTATGTTTAAATTAGGTTTTCTTCAGAAATCATACTTGGGAAGACAGTGTTTCTGAATTTTCATTTTAAAAAATTGTCTTTAATGGTTGGTCTTAAATTTTTCATTGGATCCTTTTACATTTGTTTTATTTTCCTTGAAAAGGATATAAAGTTACTAAGTTTACATGTATCTTTATCTGAGTTTCATTTGAGGATTTATCTCAATAGCTCTGCCAAGATTTATTTTTCACATCCTGATAGTATTATCAAACAAGAGGGAGCATGTCCTGTCTACTGATTATCCAGAAAGAAAACATCCAGGTTGGTTTCGTTTCATAGAAAATATGTTGTTAAAAAGAATGTGGAAACATAATTAAAAGATTGAGTGGAGTGCTATACATTCTTTACACTTTAAAAACCTGCTTATGGAATTGGAGAAACTCCTCCCTACAAACACACTATATTAATAAAGTTTATATCCCCCAAGCCTCATAGCTGCATTTACGTATTTTCTCAGACCTAATCATAAACAATATCAAGGAAAAGAGTAAATTGATAAGGGAAATAATTATGCTCAAGTCAACATAAACTGCCACTTCAGGCTTGTAAATAAATATGGAAGCAGTAAATATGAACAAACACAAACAAAAAAAACAAGCACTTTGGCCAGTTAAATGGAGATAAGGTATAATATTTTTCTTCTTTTTTGTTTTTATAAATACAATTATGTTTATTTAAAGGCCTTTTAATTCCTTTAACCCTGTAAAAGGCATTGTATTTTTTAATTAACAAATAATAATTATATATATTTATGGAGTACATAGCAATATTTTGATACATGCAATGTATAGTGATCAGATCAAGGTAATTAGCATATCCATCATCTCAAATATTTATTTTTTCTTTATGTCGGGAACAATGAATATCTTCCTTCTAGCTATTTGAAACTATGTAACATGTTGTTGTTAACTGTAGTCATCCTACAGTGCTATAGAACACTAGAAGATATTCCTCCTACCTATCCTTTAACAGCTGTTTTCTAGTCCTTCCTTCCTCTACCTGTCCTCACCTCTGATGTCCTCTGTTCTACTTTTTTTACTTCTATGAAATCAACTTTTCAGCTTCTACATATGAGTTGAGAACGTGATATCTCACTGTCTCTTCCTGGCTTATTTCAATTAACATAATGTCTTCCAGTCCATTCATACTTCTGCAAATGCCAAGATTTCATTATTTTTTATGGAGGAATACTATTCCATTGTGCACATATCACATATTATTTATTTATTTATCTGTTGTTGGACACCTAGGTTGATTTCATATCTTGGCTATTGTGAATAGTGTTGCAATAAACATGGGGGTGCAGATGTCACCGATATATTTTTTTCCTTTGGATAAATGCCTAGCAGTGCAATTGCTGGATGATATGGTAGTTCAGTTGGTAGTTTCTTGAGGAACTTCCATACTGTTCTCATAGTGGTTGTACTAGCTTACATTCCTACCAGCAGCGTGTAAGAGTTTCCTTTTCCTTGCATTCTCATCAGCACTTTTTTTGTCTTTTTGATAGTAGCCATACCAACTGGAATGAGATTCTACTCCATTATAGTTTTGATTTGCATTTCCTTGATGATTTGTGATGTTAAGTATTTTTCATATATTTTTGGGCCATTTGTTTGTCTTCTTTTGAGAAATGTCTATTCAGATCATTGCCCATTTGTTAACCGGATTTTTTTTTTTTCCTGGTGAGATGTGTTCCTTGAATATTCTGAATATCAATTCCCTGTCAGATGAGTAGTTTCCAAACATTTGTCTCATTCTGTAGGTTGTCTTTTCACTCTTTTGATGGCTTCCTTTCTGTGCAGAAGGTTTTCAGTTTAATATAATCTCATTTATTTATTTTTGCTTTTGTTGCTTTTGAAGTCTTTTTCATAAAATCTTTTCCATGACCAATGTTCTGAAGCATTTCTCCTATGTATTCTTCCAGTAGTTTTATCATTTTGGGTCTCACATTTAAGTTTTTGATCCAATTTGAGTTGATTTTTGTATAGGGTAAAATATGAAGGTCTAGTTTCATTCTTGTATATATAGACATCCAGTTTTCCCAGCATCATGTTTTTGCTGACTGTCCTTTCCTGAGTGAGGGCTCTTAATACCTTTTTCAAAGATCAGTTGGCTGTAAGTACTGGTTAAATATCTGGGTTTTCTACTCTGTTCTTTTGGTCTACATATCTGTTTTTATGTCAGTAGAATGCTTGTTTGGTTGATATAGCTTTGCAGTACATTTTGAGGTCTGGGAGGATGATAACTTCAGCTTTGCTATCTTTCCTCAGGGTTGCTTTGGCTCTTTGGGGTCTTTTGTGCTTCCATACACATTTTAAGATTTTTTTTCTATTTCTGTGAAGAATGTCATTGGTATTTTCATAGAGATTTCACTGTATCTATAGATTTCTTTGAGTAGTATTGTCATTTTAACAATATTGATTCTTCTGATCCATAAACATGGGATGTCTTTTCATTTGCTTGTATCCTCTTTAATTTCTTTTTTTTTTTTTTTTTTTTTTTTTTTTTTTTAGTTTTTCTTGCAGAGATCTTTCACCTCCTTGGTAAAATTTATTCCTAGGTATTTTATTTTTTAAATTGTATTTATTATAAATGGAATTGCATTCTTTTTTTTTTTGAGACAAAGTTTCGCACTTTTCGCCCAGGCTGGAGTGCAATGGCATGATCTTGGCTCACAGCAACCTCTGCCTCCTGGGTTCAAGCAATTCCTCCACCTCAACCTCCCGACTAGCTGGGATTACAGGCACTGCCATCATGCCCTGCTAATTTTTTTTTGTATTTTTGTAGAGACGGGGTTTCACCATGTTGGCCAGGCTGGTCTTGAACTCCTGACTTCAGGTGATCCACCCGTCTCGGCCTCCCAAAGTGCGGAATTGCATTCTTGATTACTTTTTCAGCTATTTTGTTGTTCATGTATAGAAATATTAGTGATTTTTGTTTTGTTTTATTTTGTTTTTTGAGATGGAGTCTCACTCTGTTGCCCAGGCTGGAGTGCAGTGGCACAATCTCAGTTCACTGCAACCTCCGCCCCTGCTCCGGTTCAAGCAATTCTCCTGCCTCAGCCTCCTGAGTAGCTGGGACTACAGGCACCTGCCACCACACCCAGCTAATTTTTGTATTTTTAGTAGAGATGGAGTTTTATCATGTTGGCCAGGCTGGTCTCGAACTCCTGACCTCAAGTGATCGTCCCAACTCAGTCTCCCAAAGTGCTGGGATTACAGGCATGAGCCACCATGCCTGGCCCACTACTGATTTTTGTATATTAATTTTGTATCTTGCAACTGATAAATTCATTTATCAGTTCTAATAATTTTACGGTAGAGTCTTTAGGATTTTCTATATCTAAGATCATGTCATCTGCGAACAGTGACAATTTGACTTCCTCCTTTCCGATTTGGATGCCCTTTATTTCTTTTGCCTAATTGCTCTGGCTAGGACTTCCAGTACTATGTTGAATAAGAGTGGTGAGAATAGGAATCCTTGTCTTCTTCCAGTTCTTAGAGGAAAAGCTTTCAACTTTTCTCTGTTCAGTAAGATGTTAGCTGTGGATTTGTCATATATGACCTTTATCATGTGGAGCTGCTTCCTTCTCTACCTAATTTATTAGAGTTTTTATTACAAAGTGTTGTTGAATGTTATTAAAGGCTTTTTCCTGCATCTATTAAGATAATTTTATAGTGTTTGTCCTTTATTCTATTGGTGTGATATTTGACGTGTATTAATTTGCATATGTTGAACCAGGCTTGCCTTCCTGGATAAATCCCACTTGATCACAGTATATTACCATCTTGATGTGTTGTTGAATTCAGTTTGCTAGAATTTTGTTGAGGGTTTTGATTTCTATGTTCATTAGGGATATTGGCCTGTAGTTTTCTTTTTTGTTGTTGTTGTGTCCTAGTCTTGTTTTGGTATCAGGGTTAGGGTGGGCTTATAGAATGGGTTAGGAAGAATTCCCTCTGCTTCAATTTTTTTCAATAGTTTGAGAATAGTTGGTATTAATTCTTCTTTAAAGGTTTCATAGAATTCAGCAGTGAAACCATCCATTCTTGGATTTTTCTTTGGGAGACTATCTGTTGTGTTGTCTCCTTTTTCATTTCTGATTTTATTTATTTGGGTCATCTCTATTTACTTCTTAGTCTAATTGTCAATTTTGTTTACCTTTGCAAAAAACAAAATTTTTATTTTATTGATCTTTTGTATTTTTTTAGTCTCAATTTTATTTTTTTTTGCTGTTTCATTTATTTTTTCTTATTTCTTTCCTTCTACTAATTTTGAGTTTGGCTTGTTCTTACTTTTCTAGTTCCTTAAAGTGCATCATTAGGTTGTTTGTTTGAACTCTTCCCAGTTTTTTGATGTAGACATTTTATGCTAAAATTTTTATCTTACTACTCCTTTTGGTGCATCCCGTAGGTTTTGGTATGCTGTGTTTCCATTTATATTTGTGTTAAGAAATTTGAAAATTTCATTCTTAATTTTTTCTTTTCTTTCTTTTTTTTTTTTTTTTTTGAGACGGAGTCTCGCACTTTCACCCAGGCTGGAGTGCAGTGGCCCGATCTCTGCTCACTGCAAGCTCCGCCTCCTGGGTTCATGCTGTTCTCCTGCCTCAGCCTCCTGAGTAGCTGGGACTACAGGCACCTACCATCATGTCTGGCTAATTTTTTGTATTTTTAGTAGAGACGGGGTTTCACTGTGTTAACCAGGATGGTCTTGATCTCCTGACCTTGTGATCCGCCCACCTCAGCCTCCCAAAGTGCTACCATTACAGGCATGAGCCACCGTGCCTGGCCTTAATTTTTCCTTTACCTATTACTTTTTCAAGATAATGCCTTTTAATTTCCATGTATTTGTATAGTTTTGAGTGTTTATCTTGTTATTAATGTCTAGTTTCACTCTATTGTGGTAAGATAAGATACTTACTATGACTTTAAATATTTTTAACTTTTTGAGATTCATTTTGTGCTCTAACATATAGTCAATCCTAGAGAATGTTTCACGTGCTAAGTAGAATGTGTGTTCTATAGCCACAGGTGAAATATTCTGTAGATGTCTTTTAGGTCTATGGTGCAGTTTAAATTTGATGTTGTTTGTTGATTTTCTCTCTGGATGCTTTGCCTACTGCTGAGAATGAGGTGTTGAAGTCTCCAGCTGTTGTACTGGCATCTGTCTCTCTCTTTAGATCTAATAATATTTGCTTTATGTATCTTTTTTTTTTTTTTTTTTTTGAGATGAAGTCTTGCTCTGTGGCCCAGGCTGGAGTGCAGTGGCATGATCCCAGCTTACTGCAACCTCTGCCTCCCAGGTTCAAGCGATTCTTTTGTCTCAGCCTCTGAGTAGCTGGGACGACAGGAGCATGCCACCATGCCTGGCTAACTTTTTTTGTATTTTTAGTAGAGACAGGGTTTCACTATGTTGGTGAGGGTGGTCTCAAACTCCTGATCTCAGGTCATCAAACACCTGCCTCAGCTTCCCAAAGTGCTGGGATTACCAGTGTGAACCACCACTGTGCCCGGCCAGCTTTATATGTCTTGATACTCTGGTACTGGGTGCATATATTTTTATAATTGTTACATTTTCTTGCTGAATTGATTCCTTTATTATAATATGTCTTTCTTTGTCTCTTTTTACAGCTTTTAAATTGAAATCTGTTTCGTCTGATACAAGTAAATCTACTTTCATTTACATGAAATATATTTTTTCATCCCTTCATTTTCAGTCTCTGTGTGTCTATCCAAGTGAAATGAGTTTTTCTGTAGGCAGCATATAGTTGAGTTTTGTTTTTGTATACATTCAGCCAGTCTGTATCTTTCATATGGGGAATTTTACTCTTTTACATTCAAGGTTTTTTCTGTTAGGTGAGAACTTACTCCTCTTATTATATTGATTGTCTTGGGTTGTTTTGTGTATTCTTTGTCTCTTACATTCTCTCATTGTTTACATTTGCAGTGCGGTAGTTTTCTGTAGTAAAAATGTTTGACTCCTTTCTCTTTCTCCTTTGGGTATCAGCTCTACCTGTGAGTTTTCTAGTTTCACTTGTTTTCTTGATAGTGGTTATTGTTTTTTCACTTCAAGATGTAAGGCTCCCTTGAGTATTTCTTGTAATTCCAGTCGAGTGGTAATGAATTCTCTTATTTTTTGCTTATATGTGAAAAATTTTATTTTGTCCTTCATTTCCAGAGGAGAGTGTTGCTGGCTATAATAATCTTGATTGGTAGTTTTTTCTCTCAATACTTTGAATATACAATCCAATTCTCCCCAAACCTGTAAGGTTTCTGCTGAGAAATCTGCTGTTAGTGTAATGGGGATTTCCATATATTTAACGTCACGCTCTTATGCTCCTTTTAAAATACTATTTTTTTTTTAATTTTGACAATTTGAGTATATTATGCCTTGAAGAGGATTTGCTTCATTTGAATCTATTTGGAATCCTTTGAGCTTCCTTAACTCGATTGTTCATCTCCCTCCCAAGATTTCAGGTTTTCTGTGATTATTTTATTAAATATGTTTTCTTTGCCCTTTCCTGTTCTTCTGAATTGCCTATAATATAAATATTTGTTTGCTTAATGGTGTCTCATAAATCCTGTAAACAGAGCTTTATTCTTTTTAGTCTTTAATCTTTTTTTTTGGTCTGGCTGTGATATGTCAAAAAACCTGCCTTCAGGTTCAGAAATTCAGGCCTAGGATGTGGGTGCAAGGCTGCTTGACTAACCTAGGGGCAGCCCCATGGGCTGCTCCTCGGGCCTGGGACACAGGACCAAAGCTTCTTAGCTATCCTAGGGGTTTGTCTCCATGGAGTGGCCACAGGGATGTTTCTGAGGCTCAGGGTGCAGGCACACAGCTTCTTGGCTGTTCTGGGAATGTGTCTCTTAGGGATCTCCCAAGGTGTTTTTCTCAGGCCCAGGATGAGGGCACATAGTTCCTTGGCCAGCACAGAGGCATGCCTCCTTGGAACAGCATGTGGAGTTGTTGCTCAGTTCTGGGAATTGGGTGTGTAGTTGTTTGGCCAGCCTGGGGGAATTTCTGCCAGGGGCATCCCACAGAGCTATTTCTCAGACTTTGATTATGAATGCATGTCCATTGAGCAGGTGAGGGTCTTGTCTGCAGGAGGAGGGGCACCTCAGGGCTATTTCTCAGGCCTTGGGTGCAGGTGCCTAGTTGCTACACCAGCTCAGGAATGCTCGGAGGGTTGGAGGCTTGGAGGTTTGAGGGCGTCTCTCATATGAGGATGGAGTGCAATGGTTTGGCAGGCTTAAGGGTGGGTTCACCTGGGGCAGGACTATTATTAAACTGTTCCTCTGTCTGGAAGTGAGGGCAGCAGAAGTTGGTTTCCCTGATGTGTAGGACCAGAGTAACAGCTGATCTTGTGCCCAGTCTCTGTGCTGCTGGGGTTGTGGCATACAGCCCCTGGCATGGGCTTGGTATAATGAAGATGGAGCCTCAGTGCTGGAGAGGTGCAGCAGCTACTGTTCCCCAGAGAAGGGCACACACCAGAGGTGGCTCTGGTTTCAAGATGGCACCATGCTGCACAGCTTGGCTCACTGCAGGTAGATGGAGGGTGGAGAGTGCCCACCTTGTGCTCCTAATTTGGGGCAATGCAGCTGTGTGAATTCTTGGCAGCTCTACAATTCATAAGACTTTGAAATTCTCCTGTTGTACGTACTGTAGGTGTTTGTGGTGACAATGGGAGCTGGTGAGGCAAGTCCCTCCTAACTCTAGGCAGATCACACCCTGAGTGGAAGAAACAGGGCTACAGAGGCCCAGTGCCTCCATGCTGTCCTCCTGGCCTTTCAATCACATGTGTGTCTCCACTCCCCTGCTGCACTCTAGCACTTTCCCTTTGACACTCCAGTCAAATCTTAGCTGTTAATTCATTGCCTTGGTCTGGAGACTGGCATGACCTAGCATGTTACAGAGTCTTTGTTCTTGAGAGTTCCAGATTCCAGTGTCCTAGTTACCTAGTTTCTTATTGGGAAGGTGAGTGTGCAGTGTCTCAGCCATCTTGCTGACGTCACTCTCTACAATTTTTTAAAAAACATATATATTTTCATTATACTTTAAGTCATAGGGTATATGTGCACGATGTGCAGGTTTGTTACATATGTATACATGTGCCATGTTGGTGTGCTGCACCCATTAACTCCTCATTTACATAGGTATATCTCCTAATGCTATCCCTCCCCCCACCGCCCACCCCACAACAGGCCCCAGTGTGTGATGTTCCCCTTCCTGTGTCCAAGTGTTCCCATTGTTCAATTCCCACCTGAGTGAGAACATGTGTTTGGTTTTTTGTCCTTGCGATAGTTTGCTGAGAATGATGGTTTCCAGCTTCATCCATGTCCCTACAAAGGACAGGAACTCATCCTTTTTTATGGTTGCATAGTATTCCATGGTGTATATGTGCCACATTTTCTCAATCCAGTCTATCATTGTTGGACATTTGGGTTGGGTCCAAGTCTTTGCTATTGTGAATAGTGCCACAATAAACATACATGTGCATGTGTCTTTATAGCAGCATGTTTTATAATCCTTTGGGTTTATATCCCAAATATAAACCCAGTAATGGGATGGCTGGGTCAAATGGTATTTCTAGTTCTAGATTCTTGAGGAATCGCCACACTGTCTTCCACAATGGCAGAACTAGTTTACAGTCCCACCAACAGTGTGAAAGTGTTCCTATTTCTCCACATCCTCTCCAGCACCTGTTGTTTCCTGACTTTGTAATGTTCGCCATTCGAACTGATGTGAGATGGTATCTCATTGTAGTTTTGATTTGCATTTCTCTGATGGCCAGTGATGATGAGCATTTTTTCATGTGTCTGTTGGCTGCATAAATGTCTTCTTTTGAGAAGTGTCTGTTCATATCCTTCGCCCACTTGTCGATGGGGTTGTTTGTTTTTTTCTTGTAAATTTGTTTGAGTTCTTTGTAGATTCTGGACATTAGGCCTTTGTCAGATGAGTAGATTGCAAAACTTTTCTCCCATTCTGTAGGTTGCCTGTTCAATCTGATGGTAGTTTCTTTTGCTGTGCAGAAGCTCTTTAGTTTAATTAGATCCCATTTGCCAATTTTGGCTTTTGTTTCCATTGCTTTTGGTGTTTTAGACATGAAGTCCTTGCCCATGCCTGTGTCCTGAATGGTATTGCCTAGATTTTCTTCTAGGGTTTTTATGGTTTCAGGTCTAACATTTAAGTATTTAATCCATCTCAAATTAATTTCTGTATAAGGTGTAAGGAAGGGATCCACTTTCAGCTTTCTACATATGGCTAGCCAGTTTTCCCAGCACCATTGATTAAATAGGGAATCCTTTCCCCATTGCTTGTTTTTCTCAGGTTTGTCAAAGATCAGATAGCTGTAGATGTGTGGTATTATTTCTGAGGGCTCTATTCTGTTCCTTTGGTCTGTATCTCTGTTTTGGTACCAGTACCATGCTGTTTGGTTACTGTAGCCTTGTAGTATAGTTTGAAGTCAGGTAGCATGATACCTCCAGCTTTGTTCTTTTGGAATAGGATTGACTTGGCAATGTGGGCTCTTTTTTGGTTCCATATGAACTTTAAAGTAGTTTTTTCCCAATTCTGTGAAGAAAGTCATTGGTAGCTTGATGGGGATGGCATTGAATCTATAAATTACCTTGGGCAGTATGGCCATTTTCATGATATTGATTCTTCCTATCCATGAGCAGGGAATATTCTTCCATTTGTTTGTATCCTCTTTTATTTCGTTGAGCAGTGGTTTGTAGTTCTCCTTGAAGAGGTCCTTCACATCCCTTGTAAGTTGGATTCCTAGGTATTTTATTCTCTTTGAAGCAATTGTGAATGGGAGGTCACTCATGATTTGGCTCTCTGTTTGTCTGTTATTGGTGTATAAGAATGCTTGTGATTTTTGCACATTGATTTTGTATCCTGAGAGTTTGCTGAAGTTGCTTATCAGCTTAAGGAGATTTTGGGCTGAGACAATGGGGTTTTCTAGATATACAATCATGTCGTCTGCAAACAGGGACAATTTGACTTCCTCTTTTCCTAATTGAATACACTTTATTTCCTTCTCCTGCCTGATTGCCCTGGCCAGAACTTCCAACACTATGTTGAACAGGAGTGGTGAGAGAGGGCATCCCTGTCTTGTGCCAGTTTTCAAAGGGAATGCTTCCAGTTTTTGCCCATTCAGTACGATATTGGCTGTGGGTTTGTCATAAATAGCTGTTATTATTTTGAGATATGTCCCACCAATACCAAATTTATTGAGAGTTTTTAGCATGAAGGGCTGTTGAATTTTGTTGAAATCCTTTTCTGCATCTATTGAGATAATCATGTGGTTTTTGTCTTTGGTTCTGTTTATATGCTGGATTATGTTTATTGACTTGCATATGTTGAACCAGCCTTGCATCCCAGGGATGAAGCCCACTTAATCATGGTGGATAAGCTTTTTGATGTGCTGCTAGATTCGGTTTGCCAGTATTTTACTGAGGATTTTTGCATTGATGTTTATCAGGGATATTGCCCTAAAATTCTCTTTTTTGGTTGTGTCTCCACCAGGCTTTGGTATCAGGACGATGCCGGCCTCATAAAATGAGTTAGGGAGGATCCCCTCTTTTTCTATGGATTGGAATAGTTTCAGAAGGAATGGTACCAGCTCCTCCTTGTATCTCTGGTAGAATTTGGCTGTGAATCCATCTGGTCCTGGACTTTTTTTGGTTGGTAAGCTATTAATTATTGCCTCAATTTCAGAGCCTGTTATTGGTCTATTCAGAGATTCAACTTCTTCCTGGTTTAGTCTTGGGAGGGTGTGTGTGTTGAGTAATTTATCCATTTCTTCTAGATTTTCAGGTTTATTTGTGTGAGGTGTTTATAGTATTCTCTGATGGTAGTGTGTATTTCTGTGGGATCAGTGGTGATATCCCCTTTATCATTTTTTATTGTGTCTATTTGATTCTTCTCTCTTTTCTTCTTTATTAGTCTTGCTAGCGGTGTATCAATTTTGTTGATCTTTTCAAAAAACCAGCTCCTGGATTCATTGATTTTTTGAAGGGGTTTTTGTGTCTCTATTTCCTTCAGTTCTGCTCTGATCTTAGTTATTTCTTGCCTTCTGCTAGCTTTTGAATGTGTTTGCTCTTGCTTCTTTAGTTCTTTTAATTGTGACGTTAGGGTGTTAATTTTAGATCTTTCCTGCTTTCTCTTGTGGGCATTTAGTGCTATAAATTCCCCTCTATACACTGCTTTAAATGTGTCCCAGAGATTCTGGTATGTTGTGTCTTTGTTCTCATTGGTTTCAAAGAACATCTTTAGTTCTGCCTTCATTTCATTATGTACCCAGTAGTCATTCAGGAGCGGGTTACAATTTTTTTTCTTGATCAGCATTTCTTAAAAGGTGTTCCATGAAACAGGAGAAATATTTATCTCCTGAAAAGAGCTTTTCAGGCTCTCATAAGTTAGGAAAATACAGCTTGTCGTCCCTCTCTTGGAGGTTCACAGTCAAAGGTTCTAAGATGATCCGCAGTAAGGAAATCCTTTTAACATCATTTAACCTGAGTTTTTAAATATTCCTGGGGCAAAGAATTTTTTTGAAATCCTACTATTAATACCTTTGGATCATGTGTAAGGAAATACTATTTCAACCTTATCTTTCAACTCTATTTTAGGACTATTAGGTCATAATACTAAGTTAGTTTAACAAAATATTTCCTTTTCAATGCAAGGGGCTTTTGGTCAAAACATAATCTATTGGAAAGTAGTTATTAGAATTTAATTTTCTGAAGAAATATTTTGCTCAATTCTGAAATTATTAAATCAGAGAAAGAATGTTTCGATACAAACAGTCTTTTTTTTTTTTTTTTTTTAATACATGGATAGGGAAATGAAGCTGGGGAACTAGCCAGAGGCCAGATCACTCAGAGCCTTTTAAGTAATATGACCATTCTTCCTGAGCTGGATTATGCCATTATTCCTGCATAATTATTAACAATGTTCTCCTTCACTCTAAAAAATGTCCTAGTGTAGATAATAAATTCTATGGTCCACCTACTTATATGCCACTAAAAAATTTGGTGAGTTCATCATATGCACAGGATTTTGATACTCTCTCCCTACGGGGTGCAGTGAGGCTAGAGTAAGAGTTAGCCTAAAATGCTGGGACCTATAAAGAAAACTTTGAGAATTACTGAGAATCTTGTTAAGTTAATTCCATTGTCAAGAAATAAATAGTCAAATGATAATTAAGAGAATTATGCAGAAGTTTAGGTAAATTAAGATGTTTCTAGTTAAAGAGCTAACAAAATGCGGGTGGGGGTAGTGGGAAGGATTCAAAGCTAAGCCTGTATGTTTTTTCAGTATACTGTGAAGTGTGTCCATCTAAATACAATATATCTCTTGCATTTGAATTTATGAACTTGTATTAAAAAGTAAATGATTTAATCTTTTTTTAACTCCAGAGAATTAACATTTATTCAGGTGGGCTGGAGACTGGCATGATCCATCATGTTACACAGGCTTTGTTCTTGAGAGTTCTGGATTCCAATGTCCTAGTTACCTAGGAGTTACAAGGTGGTTAATAAGATGATTTCTTTGCCAAAAGCGATAATCACCATGCAATTAGATTCTGTGAGCCTTTTAGGGGATCATTCCATTCCTAGTCAACCTCTTTGTTTTCCTGAAAAATCAAACTCTTCTTTAAGTGATCTCAGTCTTGCCTTTTGATTTTATTAAAAGCACACCAAAGAAAAAATAAACATTAGAGAGACTCTCACACGTTGGTTATGGTGCTTTATTTTAATCATGCTTAAAGACAGCTATTAAATGTGTAGGACTATAGCAGTTTTCCAAAACTAAATTCCTCTGAGCATGCTGTCCTTCCTTTTTGGTCCATGTTGTGGCCCCATCAGGAGGCTTATTTGGTGTCAGAAAGTTATGGATGTTGAAGATCATGACTTTAGTTCCTCAAATAAATACCAATGACCCTGGAAATAAAACAGATGTTCCAAAGGTCTCCCCAGTAATTTTGGTGCAAAGGTCAATCTCCTGGGAAATTTAAGCTGGTGGCTCAGCTGGTTGTCTGGATGAGTGGTTTTATGGGTCAGATTATTAGTGCTAGCCACAGGTCATCCTCAAAGTCATAAAGACTATGTGGATCGATCAAAATGACAGCTCTTATAAAATGGGCTGTTGACAAAACCAGAGGGAGAAAGACATTTCATTTCCTTTTTTTTTTTGACAGCATGACTATTTACAAGATTGTCTCCCTACACCAGAACTTTGATTTCAATGAATAAAGAATTCAGACAATAGTAAACAAACAAAAACAAACAACAACATCATAAAATCTTAAAGAAGTTACTGTTAAGTCCTTCTCCCTCATCAGATGACATCAAGATGGTCACTGATTCTTATCAACTATACTGTTAAAATGCATCTTGACTCTTTTGCTAGAATCCCTACTGCCATGACTACAGTTCATACCCCATCTTTTCTTGTCTAGACTTAGAATAGCTTTCAGCTTTGTCACTGGACTTCACATCTCCCTTTTCCAGTATATCCACTAGCATTTCACAGGAAATATTCTTTGGAAACAAATTTGATCATGCCATTCCCTGTTTAAGCATTTCACAATATGACCAGTGCATATTTAAAGCAATCTACCACATATTCATTTTATGTATCACCAAACCAGAAAAAAAGTGCTACCAACTAAGCTATAAAATAATTCTTATCACTTAGACTTTTTCATTTTATACTTGTAATCTCTTTTAGACTTATTTTGTCAGATTTTTATTATGTATCATTCCTGTGCATGCATAAGGTGGAAAATATAAGTTGCAAGTGTAGACAATGACAATTATGTCACAACTCCTACTGTAGAACTATCCATTGAAAGATGCATTGTAATGGCAGAATTGTAAAAAAGTGAAAAATGTACATCTTAGAATATATAAAATATAGTAAAAGTTTTACATGTTTCTATCCATCCCCCACAAATTTGACTGTAGGGAGGATAAGGTCTGAATTCCTCAACATGACATTCAAGGATTTTCATAATGTGGCCCATAACTATATTTTTAACCTAATGTCCTTTCACTTACCCGTGTGTCAACACACCAGAACTTTCATGTTCATGTGCTCCTTTGCCTGTTTCCTTCTCTCCCTGGAGTCCTAGGTATAATGCCTCCTTCTTTGTTTTCTCCATTATCCTCTCCACCCTGACAATATTAGTTTCTCCCTGTAGTTCCTTATAGTATTGTCTTCATTCTGATCATGTACTGTTTCAAGTCAATGCTCTGTGTTTAGTTGAACACATATGTTAATGGCTGTGTCTTTTCATGGTACCTGGAACAAAAGAGATGCTTCATAAAAACATTTCAAGAGAATTAAACTAAAATAAAACTGTAACAGACCCATTTAAAAAGTAAAATAGTCAAAAATATCCCACAAAACATTCTGCTATCATCATCATAATCCAAATAAGGCTATTATCTGTTATTTAAAGTGATTAAAAACTTGATTAAAAACATAGCCTTGGCTGGGCACGGTGGCTCACACCTGTAATCCCAGCACTTTGGGAGGCCAAAGTGGGTGGATCACGAGGTCAGGAGATCGAGATCATTCTGGCTAACAAGGTGAAACCCATCTCTACTAAAAATACAAAACTAAGCTCTGTGTGGGAGTGCATGCCTGTAATCCCAGCTACTCAGGAGGGTGAGTCAGGAGAATCGGTTGAACCTGGGAGGCGGAGGTTGCAGTGAGCTGAGATCGCACCATTGAACTCCAGCCTGGTGACAGATCTAGACTCCTTCTCAAACAAACAAACAAACAAACAGCCTTTACAGGTGATTATGTTGGTATTTAATATTTTCTCTTTTTCCTCTTGAGAAAACTTACTGGGAGACTGGAGTGATGCTCAAATTTCTAGAGGGGTGATAGTAGTAAGTTCTTGATCTGCCTCCAAGGTTGTGGGGTTTGTTGGGTGCAAATGTATTAGATTAAATGAGAAACTGGGCTTTCTATGTGGTTAAAGCCCACACAAGGGGACAAATAGACCCTCCATTCCTTATTTCTCCAAGATGTATTTGCTCTAGAATATTTGGTAGCTGTCATATAGCTTGCTATAAAATGGAAAGGCTCAATCCTTTTTTTGATTATTTAATTCTACATTTGATTGTAATCCCAGCTGCTCAGGAGGCTGAGGCAGGAGAATTGCTTGAACCCAGGAGGCGGAGGCTGTGGTGAGCCGAGGTTGCACCATTGTCCTTCTGCCTGGGCAACAAGAGCGACACTCCATCTCAAAAAAAATAAATAATTAATAATAAAAAAAGTTCTTTAATTAACAGAAACCATTTCTACAATAATTCACTTCCCCTCTCTCTTCGTGCATAAAGAGGATCTTTGTAATCTATGTAATGTTGGCCCTGTTACCATGTGATGTATGCTCTCTGTGCATGGCGGATCTGGGCAAATTCTGCTTTTGTTTTAACCCTTGAAATAACATTTTGTTCCCTTTGATATTTAGAAAAACATAAGCTGATATCACATAACTGATGTTAGATACAAATAACATTGAACTAAAGTGATCATTTAGACTGTATAAAGCATTTTTTGAGAAAATGTTTTTGGTTTTTTTTTTTTTTTTTTTTTTTTTTTTGCAGTTGCAAGATTTAATAGAGTGAAAACAGAGCTCCCATACAAAGGCAGGAGACCCAAAGGGGTTTGCCATTGCTGGCTCAAATGCTTGGGTTTATATCCCGGTCATTGTCCCTCCTGCTGTGCTCTCAGGTGATAGATGATTGGCTATTTCTTTACCTCCTGTTTTTGTCTAATTAGCATTTTAGTGAGCTCTCTGATTGGTTTGGGTGTGAGCTAAGTTGCAAGCCCCGTGTTTAAAGGTGGACACGGTCACCTTCCCAGCTAGGCTTAGGGATTTTTAGTCGGCCTAGGAAATCCAGCTAGTCTTGTCTCTCAGTCCCCGCTCTCAACAGGAAAAACTCAAGTGCAGTTGGGGAGGTTGGCCGACTACCGCTCTAACTGCTTCCTGCTGAACTGGGGCATAGTAGGGGTTGTGCAGTTGAGATTTCCTCAGGAGGGGTGCTTTCGATGTCATTAACATCAGAGCACAGGCTAGCAGGCTGGTCTAGGGGTCTGTGGTAGATCTTAGTCATGGACTACATCTGGGGCTCCATTTGAAGAACTATTTGTAGTTTTACAGCTTCGATTCTGGAAGAGACAAACTTAACAAGGAGGTTAAAGATACAGGGATTGAAATGTATGGCCTGCAGCGCAGGGGATTATTTCTTTGGCACACTTCACAGGCCCTGACTATCTGCTTGATAGTTTTGAAAAGGCCTGGTCTTGTAAATAATGATTTGGCCCTCTGATGGGTGCTATCAATGCCTAAGTGAAAGGCTTGGAGAAGGGTTTTAAGTAATTTCCATTGGTTAGCTGCAGGCAAAAGTATTTTCCCTTCTTCGGTGGCTAGCCATCCTGAGCGAAGGAAACTATGTCCTCGTGAGGTTCCCTATTCTATTTTTCCTGCTGAGTACTGGGGCTTGGTTTCCCAGAAGGGATTACCACATACTAGGGGTCCTTCTATAAGCATTTCTAATGGAGGGTCCTGCCTTGCGGCTCTTTTTACTTCAATATCCGCTTGGCGGTTCCCTTCTATTTCCCTTTCCTTTCCTTTCTGATGACCCCAGCAGTGTAAAACTGCCAACTCTTTAGGTTTCTGTACAGCCAATAATAATCTCCTAATGGCTTCCTGATATTTGATAGGTGTTCCCTTGGAAGTTAGGAATTTCCTTTCTCTCCATATTGCTGAGTGGGCATGGAGGACTAGATAAGCATACTTAGAGTCTGTATACATATTTACCATTAGAGAAAATATGCTTTTTAATGAAGCAAGTTAAAATATACATGTTATGAATTCAACCACACGTCTTTTTGATTTACAGAGAATAATTTGAGGTGTTTCCTGGGAATTTGTACTCATTTATTCATTATTTATAGTGCTAGTTATTGTCTTTTCCAGATACAATTTCTTTCCCAGCAGCACTAGAAACATGTTTTGAATAAATCTTGGCAGAAATAAAGTCAGAAACATTTGAACTTTGTTCAGCCAAAATATAGCTGTATGCTTCATTTGGAAACCAGTGCATAAGAGCAGCTTCATTTTTTTGATATTACTCCTGTGGTTTTATAGTAGTGATTCTTTTTTTCTTTTTTTTTTTTTTTTTGAGACAGAGTCTTACTCTGTCACTGAGGCTGGAGTGCAATGGTGCAATCTTGGCTTACTGTAACCTCCGCCTCCTGGGTTCAAGTGATTCTCCTGCCTCAGCCTCCTGAGTAGCTGTGATTACAGGTGTGTCAACCACCACGCCCTACTAATTTTTTGTATTTTTAGTAGAGACAGGGTTTCACTGTGTTGGCCAGGCTGGTCTCCAACTCCTGACCTCGTGATCTGCCCGTCTTGGCCTCCCAAAGTGCTGGGATTACAGGTATGAGCCAGCGCGCCCGGCCTGATTCTTTTTTTTTTTTTTTTTTTGAGATGGAATCTTGCTCTGTCATCAGGCTGGAGTGCAGTGGCGCAATCTTGACTCGCTGCAACTTCCCCCTCCCGGGTTCAAGCAATTCTCCTGCCTCAGTCTGCCTAGTAGCTGGAATTACTGGCGTGTGCCACCATGCCCAGCTAATTTTTGTATTTTTAGTAGAGACAGGGTTTCATCATGTTGGCCAGGCTGATCTTGAACTCCTGACCTCAGATGATCCACCCACCTCAGCCTCCTGAAGTTCTGGGATTACGGGCATGAGCCGCTGCACCCAGCAGCAATTCTTTAAAACAATGCATACACTTAAATTTGAAGCTTAGCTGGGAGATTTTTGGATATGGTCAAGAAGATATAGGAACAATTTAATGAAGTTTTGTAGGCCAGTTGCTCTTTCATGTTCACAAAACAGTCAAGTGCCACTAATCGCATTTTGACAAACAATGAACCACATATACAACTATGGTCCCATAAGATTATGGTATTTTTACTGTACCTTTCATATGTGTAGATACAATTAGATACACAAATAGTTATCAAATAGTTATCATTGTGTTACAATTGCCTGGAGTATTCAGTATAGTAACATGCTGTATAGGTTTATAGCTAAGGGGCAATATAGCCATATAACCATATAGCCTAGGTGTGTCTTAGGCTATACCATCTAGGTTTGTGTAAGTATACTCTATGATGTTTTTACATCAACAAAATCACCTAATAATACATTTCTCAGAATGTATCCTTGTTCTTAAGTGATTCATGACTATCGTTATTCTTGACTCATCCTACTCTTAAGCCTTTTAACTGAAATACATTTATATTTACTTATTCAAAGTAGAAAGATCTAAGAATTGAATGTTCATTATATAATTATTTCAGAGATTTTTTTTCAAAATAATATTTGAAAATACTATGTATTGAGTCAAAATCTTGTTAAGATAAAAAATAAATGCTGGGTCATCTACTGTAATTATCTCAAGGGTAATTAGTGACATAGCTGAATTTAGAACTTAAATGTGGGAAACTACAGCTCATTTATCCCTGCGCTGTATGATGCTAAAATCAGAAAACCCCTGGAAAGTTACTATCCCCACTAAATTGTCTATATGACGTTGGCCCTGCTAAAAGATGATGAAATGTTCTCTGTGCATGGTGGTTCTGGGCCAATCTGATTAGACACAAGTAACAGCCATCACCCAGTTCTGTTTCAGGAAAAGACCAAGATTGCTTCTTTAAGAAAATATCGTCTTTTAACAATTGTTTAAATAAACAGATTACTTTTCAAGTACACTTCTGATTTACTTTTCATTCAGGTAATCTTAGATATATTTCCAGTTGCTGTGGCATATTAGATAGTTGCTTCTTTCCTAGCTCCATAAATAATTGTTGAATTTGTTGCATGGATGCATTTTATTTTTCTTTGTAGCCTCCCAAGTACCTTACTTGGGCCTTTGCATACGATAGTGGATGGTCGAATTAAGTTGGCATGGGATTCATTCTTTCTCTCTCTTTTCTTCTTTTCCATTTTCCTTTCTTGTTCTTCTCTTTGTCTTTTTACATCTCATTTTTCACCTTCTCATTCCTTATTGGAAATAATAAATCATTTTCCCAAAGCCATTTTGCCAATCACCCTAAAATTTATTTTCTGTAATTTTCCCAGCAGTTTGACAGGTTCAGTACATGTCATGTTGAGCAATTTTTAAGGAAATGTCAGTTATCCCTTATAAAGCTCAGCCTTTTAGAGTTTTGATCCAGGAAATGTATTAGTATTATTCATAGAAACCAGTTTTCATGGCCAATTTTAGCTCATTTGGCTATTCATGCCATCAGGTAAGTAAATATTTCTATTGACCAGGCCAGTCATGTCTGCTCTCCCTCTGTGCATCCAGAGGTCCAGCAAGGAGAATGTAGAAAACGATTTTCTTCTTAGCTTGTAGAGAGATTGGAGTAGGCATTATCCCACATCACATAGCAATGACTAATGACAACTTGAACTGCTGGATACATTCTACTTCCATTCCTAGATAGGTTTAGAGACAGATGACTTACGGAAATCTCACAAAAGGAAAATGGGTTTGTATGTGTATAGACTTATTGTCAAAATACAAAAGGATTCCATAAATTGTTATGGATTGAGTGACTTGAACAAGGATTTAAAAGGCATGTTCACCAGATAGTTTAGAAGAAATATAAACATTTTTGAACTTCACTGTCAATACTGATTGATTTATTGTTTGCAGAGTTTTTTTTGTTGTTGTTGTTAACTAAGGCCTCAAAGACTTTTCAAACAATAATGTTTTATGTGTTCATGGTGCTTTATAGTGTATACATCACATCGCCACTCTCTTGTTTAATTATCATGAAAACCATATAAATAGAGGTGCCATTTTTACATAAATAACATAGAGATATGAGATTGATGTGTTTTACTAAAAATTCCCTGGGAATTTTGACTTTGGTACTATAGGACCTTAAGAATTTTGGAGTCGGCTGGGCATGGTGGCTCACAACTGTAATCTCAGCACTTTGGGAGGCTGAGGCAGGCAGATCACTTCAGGTCAGGAGTTCGAGATCAGCCTGGCCAACATGGTAAACCCCGTCTCTACTAAAAATACAAAAATTAGCCAGGTGTGGTAGCGTGCACTTATAATCCCAGCTACTTGGGTGGCTGAGGCAGGAGAATCACTTGAATCCACGGGGCAGAGGTTGCAGTGAGCCGAGATTGCACCACTGTACTCCAGCCTGGGAGATAGAGCAAGCCTGTCTCCAAAAAATAAAAATAAAAATAAAAATTTGGAGTCACTGTGAGATATACATACACAATATACCTACTTTATATATATATATGTGTATATATATATGTTTGTGTGTGTATATATATATATTCTCACACATTTATCATCAAATAGGTATATTTGAGGTTTGTTCTCCCCAGCCAGGTAAGGTAATATAGTGGGAAAAGCATGGATTTGGAGTCTTAAATCCTGATTCTATCAGCAGTATTGTCTTGCATTAGTTACTAATCTCCCTGCATCTCATTTTCTCATCTAATAATAATAACAATTATTCTACTCTTAGGAGTACATTATGTAATGTAGATAATGTGCCTGAGATGGAATAACCATCAGAAGAGTCCATTTCCTACCTGGATTATTTTGTACAAATGCATCTAGATGATCGTTCCCAATCTCTTCATTAATGAATGGCACCTTTTGAGAGACAACCAGTTAATGTTGCTCTCTGTGGCCTTTGGGAAAGAGAAAAGTAACTGGTTTATGCCAGAATTAAACCTGGAACTCTAACCTAATGAGCAAACAGCAAAGAAGGCAGATCAATTGCAGACGTGAGGTGATTCATCATTTAGACCCTGGAGGTATGCCTTGGGACTCAACTATCTCCCTCATATCTCTGAGACACCAGTGTGAGCTTGGACCCCTCTAAACATTCAGATCTATTCCTATTCCAGCATACTTGTGTCTCAATTCACTCAGTGCAAAGGCGAGAAACTTAAGCTGTAAACAATTTGAACAACTATGGAATACACTAGATTCTATCTTGAGTTTTGTTTTGCTGATTAAAAACTCATACTGAAAGAGAAGTTTGATTGTAGAAAGAACTGACATGAATTCTTTGGAAGAAAGTTTAATAGAAAAAGTTCTCTCTCTAATTTATTGATGGCCGTGAGGAATTGTGGGTGAGATTTTAGCCATCAGTGGACATATAACAGATATTACTGAGTGATGAGATAGTGAGTGATTGTTTAAAATCTTTACTTCTTTGTGCTTCTCCATATTTCTTTCAATAAAAAACATGATGAGGGGGTACAATCAATCAATGAATCAATCAGTACATATGAGAAAGAAAGACTATTTTGTGATTACTGTTGGGATAGAATAAAACACATTCCCTGAATTCTTAGGAATTGCATTTAATGGAGAGCATTTTTGTCCTATCTATGTTCTGAGCCTTTTTGCTCAGAAGTTAGATTTTCTTTTCCTGAAGCAGCTCTTTCTGCCCATCCATGGATCTCATCAGCACAATCTGCAGGGTTTGTATGCAGCTGGCTTTCCCTGTTTTTACTTCTGAATGGGTGGCTTATTTCTTTCCAGCATTTTTTTTTTCTGATTGACCCAAAATGGGTGCAGATGTGGTAAGCACATGCTGAAAGTTGTTGAATATTATTTTCACCCTTATGAAAGGCCTGACATAAGCAGTTTCAGATTGTGTGAATTCTTAATTCTGCAGTGGGCTTCCAACAGTGGTTCTGTTGCCAGTGATAACAAAAACCTGGGAGAGACCTTGGGCGGTAAACCACAGACTTAGTTCCCAAGAATTGAAGACCTCATATGTTCCTTGGTATGTGATCTTGTGAAATGCAGAGGTATAAAATGAAGTTTTGACTTTCAAAATTGGTCCTAGGGACTAAATTATGATGTAAGGTATTTTCCCTATATGTTTTAGTGCATACTTGTAGAAATTGGCTTCTGTTATTTTCTTGTTTACAACAAAGATCATCTTTTTGTGCCATTTCTGAATTTTGAATTTTCTTTTGGTTCTTTCTAATACCTTTTTGTTAGTGGCATGTTGTATTGAAGAGCCACTAAACTGGGAGTAAAAAAAATCTGCCTGTTTCTCTCTTGTTTTGTGAAACAAGTATATATTGTAAATATATAATTGCTGAAAAATAAGGATAATATTATATTCTACCTAACTTTTGTACACAATAGCTATTCACATTGCTCAAAAGTTGTTTTTCAATACTTACGGAAAACATTTAATTAAACAGAGTTAGCTTGACTGTATGTATTTTTTACTTTGGGGTCTAAAACTGTTCATTCCAGAGGTTCTAGGAAGATGAATTGTTTTTTTAACTGGGGAAATTAAAGACTTACTTCTTGATAGAGGATCATCAAGGAATGGATTACATTTGTATATTTCCTTTTATTTCTGGTAAATAAAAAATTATAGGAGGCCATTGTTTTGAGCTACACTCCTACACTAGACCCCAACAGATCAGACTAAAAATCAAAACGGAGTCGCTCACGCTGTGGTTCCACATTACCAAACCAAAACTGAGTGGTTATCTAACCTTTGGAGAAGCCCAAAAGGAGAGATAACAGCTTAATTTCCCAAACAGACTGGTTTCAATCTACAGGATAATGAAGTTCCCTCTGCCTTTAATCTTTAAAGGGAAGGTAACCTGAAGTAACCTGATATTAAGCAATCAGTTATTTCTCTATTGTTTCCCTGTTCCTGCCTTACAAGGGAAATAGCTTTGAAATGACCAGTCACATTTTGTTCTACATTTCTGCTTTCTTCAGTTCTTCTCCGTCTATAAAACCAAACCCTTCCACTCAGCTTATTGGAACACTTATTCTATTTTATGGAATGAAGTGTTGCCCAATTCTAAAAATGCAATAAAGCCAATTGAGATCTTTAAGATAAATTTGTTGTAGCTTTGTCTTTTGGCAGATCTAAGCATACAAGGGCTAGATTAATGCACTCATTCATTTCCTTATTTAACAAAATTGTATTGAGTGCTTTCCACATACTAGGTACTTTGCCAGGGCCCAGGGGATACAGAGGTCAATTACAAAAACAGTCCCCGTCATATTGTCTGCAGACTAGTGTAGAGATGGACAAGTTAGCTGTTGCAGTAAGAGTGCATTAGTGGAACACCTGAACCTAGATTTGGGGGTCAGGAAAGGAATTCTGAGAGGAAAGTAGAACTGAGAAATAAATAGAAATTATTCAAGCCTGTGTGTGTTGAGAAAGAGAAAGTGGCAGTGTGTGCATGTGTTTGTACTTTAAGGAAGAGAAAGAGACAAGCACAGGGAGAGAGAGAACGTGAGTACACACTAATAGCTTAAGTCTACATTTGGATTGTATTAAAATAACACCAAAAGCTGATGGAAACTCATGCCGCGATCGTCATTAGGCTCTTACAAGCTTGCTGGCCAGTTTCAAAGTTTGCTTTCTTGGAACACATAAAGATAATTTAATAAATTTTCCGTTCGGGGTAGGAGAAAGTTAATAGACTACTAAAGGGCCTAATTTACCTCCCCGGATTAGATTAATCAGACTTAAAATAGGGCATCTAAGATGCAGATGCCATGTTTAAAAGTATACTCTGTGCAATTCCAGAAGAACAAAGTTTTCCAGAAAGCATTAGTGTTTGGTCAATGTAATAAGACTAATTTCTCAAGAACCTCACACCTAGGTTTCAGGTAAAAGGAAAAAGAAAAAGTAATGATGATTCTGTTTTTCCTTCTCAGGCACATTTTTCAATGCATTAGACTGTTTGGTTTGGATGGTGCAAGGATCAAATCTATGTTGTAAGAGGAAAGCCAGATGATCTTTCAAAATGCATCTAAAATTTCTTCAGCCAACTCAAAATGAATGAGTCATGTTGACGTTATACTAGGGAGCCATGTCTTAAGCTAAATTCCTAATCCTTACATGATACTGTTTTTAATCCTTTGGCCTATTTCCCGAACTATTCAGTTGGACTCTTGTGCAGTGTCATTTCTCACACATCTCAGAGCCCAAGTGGACTTCTTGATGGAGTTGGCTTTACATGCCGTGATGCCTCCTTAGCATTTTGTAGAAAGAAATAAGATCCAATCCAGTTTCAAAACACCCTGGTTTGGGAGGATTCTGAAGTTCCCTAAGACCTTTAAAATGCTTTAATTTCAATTCAAGGATGGCAGCATGAATTAATTATTCAAAAGACAAAGGATGCCTCTAAGTGATCCTTCAAACTTGGGATTTATTAATTCATTCAAGAGATATTTACTGAATACTTATTATGCACCAAGCACTCTTCTATGTATTGCAGTGTGGCTGAAATCCTAGACATACCCAGTGCTGAGTCAGAATTTCAATATAATAAGACACACTCCACTGATCAATATATATTAATAAAAAATAAATAAAAATAAAAAATTCCATCAGTTGAGTGTTTCAAATGTTTGGGACAATCAAAATCTTGGCTTTGCCACTCAGTAGCTATGTGACCTTCAACTTCTTTTCTCTGAGCTGCCGTTGTCACATTTCTTAATTGTGTCCAACAACTACTTTCATGAGAGGAATGGAAGAGATTGGCTGTAACAAGTCAAATGCAAGGGGAGCTGCTTTGAGAGCCCTCAACTTGCACTGTTCACCTGTCAGGTTTTATCTTTCAGGGGTCAGCCAAGCCAGTGGGAAGCCTACGACATTCCCCTGGGTCACTTAGTGAACTCCTACTCTTTCATCAGGCCTCACTTGAACATGACTTCCTCCAGAAGCCTTCCCAGACATCTTTGGTGAGTATATGTGCCTTATATGCATTTCTAGGGTATCCTATCTATCTGTATCATAGCATTTGCCACAATTTAATGTGATGGATGTCTGTTCTGTCTTCTATCTTTCTACGAGAGTCTATGCTTCAAAAGGGCAGAGAATGAATGTGTTCTGCTATCTATTTTAGTTCCAGTATTTAGAAGGGTCTATTTGTTATTGTTGAATGAATTAATGAATGTGTATCTGTATCCCACAAGCTAAATAGAAATTTATGAATGAGATAAAGGTGCATATTGGTCTATATTGTTTGCCTTGCACTTGTATACATGTAATTTCAGTTAAGCCTCAAAACCACTCTAAGTGGTGGAAGGACAGACATTTTGATGCTTGTGTGCTGATGAAAATGAGGTTCAGAGGGTAAAAGGATTTTTCTGTGTTTGCAGAGCTAGAAAGTCAGAAGAGTAGAATTGGAACCCAGCTCAGTCTGATGCCACATCCTTTGTTGTTTCCATTAAATCAGAGAATTTCTTAGTGCTGAGAAACTATTCTGGAACTTACAACAAAGGCAAGTGGGAAGGGAGTCGCCTGGAATTTGATCTCTGTAGATGCCTTTTTCATTTAGTTTATTTTTCATTTTTATCTGTTGCTTTGCTCTTATCAAATACAGATAAATAGCAGCTGCTACTGGTGCTGTTGATTGCGATTTCTGTTTGAAAATGGAATCTTGAGCATCTGTTCTCTCCTTTTATATTTTACTGTGAGAGAAAATCTATTTTTTTCAAAAGGTAATTCATACACATGGTAAAAATTTAAACAATATAAAAACCTATTTTTAAAAAACATATACTCTTGAGTATTTCTGTGTACTTTGCTTTCATCACTAATACATCTTTAAGTTTATTCCATATTGGTACGCAAAATACATATTTCATTATTCTAATGATTACATATTACTTAATTCAATTTGTAATACATAAATGGCAGTTTACTAATATAACCATATAAAAAGTAATCTAACAGAAGTTACAATGTTTTATCAGGTGAGCACTACACTGTTATTTTAATACTTGCCAGTTAAATCAAGCAATGTGACTGCTAAAAGTAGAATTCCCATACAGTAGGAAAGCACAATTTATTTTTATAATAAAAGCAATAAATGTGTTTAAAAATTTCAATCCTTTATTGTGAATCACTTGTGGCCAAGTATCACTTAGAATAAGAGTTCTAGAACTAAAAGTGTCTTTAGAGGCCTAGTACAGTTTGTTATAAGGAACACTGTGTGTGTGTGTGTGTTTGTGTGTTTGCATGTGTGTAAGACTATTTAGAAAAGTAAGCTTATATAAAGGTACAATAATGTCTTGTTTATTGAGTATCTACTTTGAGTCTGGCATATCATCAACATTTTATATCATTATCTTATTGCTTACAATCTTAGGGATAGGTACTATTATCATTTTTATTTTACAGGTAGGAAACAGAAATGCAAACTCTTTCTGATTCCAAATCCTATATTTATAACCACAGCACATTATTTGGTCTATTAGATGTAAAACAACTAAATTCCAGAAATAGTCTCCGAGCCCACCTACTTAGCCTCAATCTTCAATCTTGGAGGTCCCTGAAGGGGCTCCTCTAACCTTTAAGGTTTTTCACATGTTTTTACAATTGTTTCAGAGCCCATGCCAGGGTTAATAATCAGCCACTACTTACTGAAAACTGTACCAGTTTTGAAAATATTAAAGTACTTCTGAACCATTTAGTAAATAACCCTCTATGACCCAGCTACTCTCTAAGACTGACTGGTTGTTGTGGATTGAATGGTATCCCCAAATTTTGTATGTTAAAATTCCATTCCCCAAGACCTCAGAATGTGAACATATTTGGAGATAGGTCTTAAAGAGGTTAAAATGAGGCCGTTAGGGACATATCCTAATCCAATATGACTGATATCCTTATAAGAAGAGGAAGAGACACCAGGGATGTGTACCAACAGAGGAAGGGTCGTAAGAGGATACAGTCAGAAGGCAGCTGTCTGCAAGCCGAGGAGGGAGTCCTGAGGGGAGATCAAACCTGTGGACACCTTGGTCTTGGACTTCTAACCTCCAGAACTGTGAGAAAATAAATTTCTGTTGTTTAAGCCACCCAGTCTGCAGTATTTGATTATGGCATCCCTAGGAGACTGATACACTTGTTTCTCTCATAATCTGGAAACTAAAGAGCTGGTTCCTGGCACACACCAGAGGCCTCCCCAGGGGAACTTGCTCTGGTTGGTTACTCCTTGTGACTGTGGACATTTTGCTTGTTTTCAGCAATCTATGCTGTAATGAATGTTCTTGTACATATGTCTATATATTCATCTGGGGATATATTTTAATATACATTTCTAGAAATAAAATTGCTAGGTGGGTTGACTTAGAAAATAACTTCATGTATTTTAACATTCTTCATAAAATACCTTTAAAAATTCATCTGGGCAAAGCTACATTTGTGAAAGACACTTGTGTATTTGTTGTGCTCATTTTGGTTTCTTCTTGATGCTAATAGCTACCTTGCCTTTCAAGGGAGAAAAAGTTTCAAAGTAGAAAATATTTCAAATGCGTTAAGTAGAGGTTTGAAACATCCCATAACCCGCTAAATGAAGCCCAAAGCCACAAAGGGCAGAAAGGTCTAGGCAGCTCTGATAATGACTTTAAGTGGGAGCAAGGCTGCAGAGCACCATTGCTGAGAATAAAGGCTTAACATAATGCCTTTCTCCTGGGCATCCTTTGCCCACAAAACTTACCCATAATGACAGTTTACATTATGTTCATTCCTTCAGGAATAATTACTGTGCCTCCATGTGGAAGTTTTCTCATTCCAAAGAAGCAGGATCATCCATCATATTAATGTGATATGGTTTTGCCAGATGCCAGATGAATTAGCAAATGGTATTCAACATACACATTCATCAATTCTGACTAGTGCATAAATAAAATCATAAGGATATATCTTTGGAAAATACTGGTGGGCATTGTCACAATATTTTAAAAATTGTCCAGACAGGTATATTTTTCTCTTAGTCACTTGAAACATTTAGAATTAAATTAACTTTTGTCAAAAGATGGTTCTTCTTTAATATAAATTGAAAAAGGCCAGAGGCAGAAATTCTCCAAATTGAGGATATATCAGAATCACTGAGGGTATGTTAAAACACGGATTACTGAGGCCAGGTGCTGTGGCTCACACCTGGAATCCTAGCACTTTGGAAGGCCCAGGTCAGGAGTTCGAGACCAGCATGACCAACATGGCGAAACCCCGTCTCTACTAAAAATACAAAAATTAGCCACGTGCGGTGGCGGGCGCCTGTAGTCCCAGCTACTGGGGAGGTGGAGGCAGGAGAATCACTTGAACCCGGTGGGCGGAGGTTGCAGTGAGTTAAGATTGTGCCACTGCATTCCAGCCAGGATGACAGAGACAGACTCTGTCTAAAAAACAAACAAACAAACAAACAAACAAACAAACAAAAAAACCAAAAAAACCAAACACAGATTCACAGATTACTGGTCCTTACTCCAAAATTTTAGACTGAGTAGGTCTGGAATGGGCACATGGTTCTGCATTTTTAATAAGTTTTCAGTTGATGCCAATTGATGCTTCTAGTCTGGAGAGCACACTTTGAGGATTGCTGGTCTTGGAAGGTCTTTTACAAGATTTAAGTCACATACCAATCACTTAGGTATCTTTTGAAGATACAGATTCAGATCCAGTAGGTCCTGGGTGGTGCTCAAGATTCTGCTTTTTTTTTTTTGAAACAGAGTCTTGCTCTGTTGTCCAGGCTGGAGTACAGTGGCATGATCATGGCTCACTGTTACCTTGAACTCCTGGGCTCAAGGGAAGATTCTGCACTTTGACAATCTCCTGAGAGATGCTGCTGGTCCATGGGCCACACTTTGAGTATCAAGTGTGTTTCAATGTATAGTATATTTAGTTGGTTGACAATTTAGGGGTTGTCTGAGTAAAAGATAAAGGTAATTTTTAAAATATGTATGACTTTCCCCACTTTCTTGCAGTTTCTCTATTGAATGTTGAATGCCTTGAAACTGATTACCAGGCCTTTTAATGTAACTTAGCTCATGGTCCTCTCACCCAGAAAATGTGACCAATTTGACCCATACTTTCCACCTCCAAATTTTGCTGAGGCCCAGTTTGATATGTTTTCAATTACATGCTCAGAAATAGAAACTGGACACAACACATCTTTGCTCATTGAGACCATGTATATGCAGAGTAAATAAGTAATTTACCTAGGACACAAAACCCAGGGCAGGTATGCTACTTGCCCTCTTGTTGCTTAGGAGAGGCAACATGGTGGGAGTGGATTCTAAAGACTGTGTAAGGGAAGAAAGGAGATAACCTTGATGATCTGGTGATGATAACAGTTTTCTAGAAATAGGGTGTGGCCTAGGTAGAGGTTTAGAGTCCAGAGTGGGGGCAATTACCCATACACAGTAGCTAACTTCTCTAGCAGACTTTTGAGGTAAGAAAGTAGAAGTCTTTTCCATTTCATGAGGCCAAGTGTCATAGGAGGACTTCAGACTTCTGTCATCAGTTTCCAGCATCCATTCCTCTGTCCTATCACTTCACCTACCAGTGTATATCAGTTCAAACTGGGGTCATTAGGCTCCAAAGGATTGAATCACAGAACCATAGAATCTCAGAGTTGAGAAGAACCTTCTGGCTTTTTCTCCTCTGAAACTGTGATTCAGCCCTAATGAAACTCAAAGTAGATACGTTCATAATCCATCTCTAAGATAATATCTCCTAGATATCAGAACAAATTCAAAATATGAGGATCCTTTGAGGAGTATTAAGACACCTCAAAACTGAACTAAAATTTGGAATCAATAAAATCAAATAGTGTTGGAAAGGATGAGAAGTTTTGTGGGACACTTCACTCAACTATGGAAGAGTATGCAAACTAATTTGTTCTCCTATGAATATTGCAAATGTTAGCCCCAGATTTTCTAAGTTGGCATTAGATTCAAACATTCTATGTATTGTACACAGATCTGCTTAGATTGCATGTCACAATATTTGGTTTGGTAAATATAATCAATATAACTAAAGAGTTCTTCCCAAGGGCAGCAACCCTTTTTCCCTAGAGAGTCTCGGTCCCCCGGTGATATGACAGGGCTGTGATAGATTGTCTATCCAGCTCTCCTGGCTTTGGCCTCTGCACTAAACTGCCCATTCTCTTTGAGGACCTCAAGCTTTAGAGTTGAATACTTGGCAACCTTTCTGAGCCTCACAGCATATAAAAGCCACAATTTTTGTGGCCTTGAAAAGAAGGCTAGCCTGTAGTGTTGCAAAGAATTAAATACATTTTGTTTTAAAAAGATATAATTTTATTACTTTTAAACACCATGGGTAAATCACTTCACCTCTTTCAACTTGAAACAGACAATGAAAGTTTAAGAGACTCAAATCCACTCCCTAAATCTGAGTCCCTGCAGCTGTCCTGCCTTTGTTGCCCTTTCTAAAACTGTCTAACCAAATCTAGGCAGATAATCTCTTTAAGCTCAACATTTTCCTGTATGTATAATAAAAATATTATTATTAATTATTTATTCTGTGATTAATAGATCATTTATTTAGTGACCATTTATTGAACCCTACTAGATTTCCCTTTACCCAAAATGTTAGACACAAAGAAAATGAATGAGGCATGGCCCCTGCCCTGCAGAAATCCACTGTCTAGTAGGGGAGATAAGCATTCATTTTTCATTAATTCATTCCAAGAATGTACATTGAGTTTCTATCATGCCCCCGCCACTGTTCTTAAGCGCTAAGGAGCTTACGTTTTAGTGGTGGTAGCAGGGACAGGGGAGAGGGAGAAGATAGATAATAATCAAGTAAACAAGCAAATGACATAGTATCAGTAAAAATACTAAGAAATCAGGGTAAAGGAACAGGGCGTTCAGAGGAGGCATTTCTTATTGGGTGACAACACCAATGAGACTTGAATGATAAGAAGGATCAGGTCATGTGATGATCTGGAAGAAGAGCATTCCAGGTGGTAAAAAGATCTGGAGTCCAAAAGAAATACCCTGTATTCCAGGGAGAGAAAGAAGATGGAGGGTGAAGGAGTAATGACACATAATGACAATGAGAATAGATAAATGATAAGAGAAAAGAAAGTATAAACTGCTTTGGAAATATGGGCATGTGTAACTGTCTGGAAAGGGTAGACGGATGTGGGGCCATGTCTTGGGGTGAGGTGGCTTTGCAAAGAGTCATTGAGAGTAGGCACCAGCAATCTTTTATCTAGGATGCTTCTAAGATTCTTGCCTAAGGAGGCGGAGGAAATGAATAAAAAGGGAACCAGGCTTGGGGAGTGGGATGGAGAGGGGAATGCTGTCTAACAGCGCTTTCTAATTTTATGCATTCTCATAGATGAAAATATCTAAAAGGAATTTACATGCCTAGAAAAACAACTTTGTAATAATTGTACACGATTAGATACACTTTGGCTCAATTTTATTTTGAGTGATCATAAATTCCGACTTAGTAAAAAGTCTGCATTGAGATTTTTATGTCGCCTTGCCGTTTTGTCTAGGAAATTGAGATCTATGCCAAAAAGCTTTTTCCTTATCAAGCGCTATTGATTTACATATCAATTTTTAAAGAATATTTATGTGTGTGCACTGTGTATTTTTTCATTTTAACAGAGATGTAAGGGAATAAGGCATAATTCTCTTATTACAGTAGTAATAAGGGAATAATAGTAATAGTACTCAGTCATCTTGACTGGTCCTTCTGATGAGGACTGGGAAGACTCTGAAAATGTTATCTACTTTGTGGCTGGAAAAAAATTAATAATATTAACATTTAAAAATAAAAAGAAATTTAAAACACTATGGGTTTAAAAACCATAACATGAGTTCTGGAACTCGTGTGTGTGTGTGAGAGAGAGAGGGAGAGCACAAGGGAGAGACAGAGATGGAAACTGAGACAGAGATACAGAGAGATTGTGGTTTTTGAAGAGAACAAATGATCCAGGTGTGCTGTGGGTTGTCCCATGGATCTTATTGTTCCTATTTTTAGACCCCTCAGCATACCTTGGGCTTTATGAGTGAAAAACAAAATGCAGTGGAACTCATTTAGTGTCACCTGAAACCATGTGATATAGTCAAACTTCCCTTTCATATTCTGAGAAAAACATGATTTGAGGTTTTAAAATTTTGCTGGCATCTGTCCCCTCACCTTTATAAGTGGAACCAAGGACAAAGCTAGTGTTGTTTGCTGCTAGCTCTGACAAGTGAGGGCATTATAAAATAGATTTTAAAATTACTTAAAGAAATGCAAAATTCCATACTTTTCTTTGCATCCCTAGGCAGTCCCCTCCCAAAACTTTATTTTTAACTAAGATGATTTCAAAGCTTGGTATTTTCAAGAATTGTAGTAGTGTTTGTGTTCTTTAAAAAATAAATTGCATTTCTACGCATCAGCAAAGGTTATAAAGTATGTAATGTTTTCTCTCATGTTTTATCTTTTAATAGAAAGATTAGAATAATAGTACTTCAAATTGAACTTGGATAGCATTTTTAACCAATTTTTTAGAAAGCATATTTTTGTTCTATCTTTTTTATACACATTTGAATTATTCTTACAATTTCAAATTCACTATATTTCCCAGAGGTTTACCTCACAGAGAATGGAGCATTTTGCAGTTAAACTTGCCTAGTGGCTGAAATTGTTCAAAGCAATTTGTCCAAGGTTGCACCTGAATTAATGTGGTGAATGGATTATATATTACGTTACTTTTTAAAATTCAGGACACAATGCAACCTTTTCATTTATTCAGGACCAGCATTAAGGTATAAAAAGAGTAAATGATGTGACATATGATTTGAGGAGAAATGCTGAGAGACACCCTTTTCCATTTACTTTCCTTTTCTTCCTCCTCAGGGCCTAAACTTTCTCTCTTAGAAAGGCTTTGTGTCTAGAAGTACGAGGGCAGAATGCAAAGCAATGATTAAACTGTGACTTATCTGGGTAAATGTATTTATCAAATTACCTAGCAAGAACTTGGGGATGGTGGAGAAATGTTACCAAGTATTTATGAGATAGTGGAGGAGGAAAAAGCCCTAATTTTCTTGCTCCAATTTTCTTACCCATAATGTGTATGAGGAGTTGGAGAGCTTTATAGGGACACAAGGATTATTTAAGTGCCTGGCAAGCTTAGTTGGTAAAGCATGACACTCCTTTATTTATTTATTTATTTATTTATTTATTTATGTATTTATTGAGACAGGGTCTTGCTCTGTCACCCAGGCTGGAGTGCACTGGCGTGATCACTGTAGCCTCAACCTCCTTGGTTCAAGCTATCCTCCCGCTTCCTCAGTAGCTGAGACCAGAGGCATGAACCACCATACCCAGCTAATTTTCTATTTTATTTTGTTCTTAGTAGAGATAAGGTCTCACTATATTGCCGAGGCTGGTCTCCAACTCCTGAGGTCAAGTGATCCTCCCTCCTCAGCCTCCCAAAGTGCTGAGATTACAAGTATGAGCCACCATGCTCAGCCTCTTATTTTTACTTATGCAGCTGTAGAGAGATGAAGCCTCCTTGTCTGTCCATTGGATTCAATTCTTCTGGATACTTTTCTGCACCTCTCCATATTTGTTCCATTTCTTGGAATGCCCTTTCTGACCCAGGCCCCAGCTTCCTAATGAACTTCTTTCTATCTTCGAATCTCAGCTCAAATGCTGCTTGTTTCTTGAAATCTTCTCTGACTGATTCATTTCTTCCCTTCTGGAAGGAGTGTTTGCATATCTCCTTCCAGAGCATCATGTGTGTCTCCATTGTGGTTAGCTTTTCTTACAATGATTTGTTTGGGTCTCTTCCTTGCCATATTCTGAGCTAGCATAGGATCCCTTATTACTTTCTGGAGGACCTGGCAAAGTTATTCAATAAATGCAGAATAAATGCATTGCAGTTCTTGCTCTTGTGTGTTTCCCAAATTGTTTATCTTCTATATATGAAGTTAAATATTGCTAGATCATCTTCCATTTAAATACTTGTATTTTTTTGTTTATTTTTTAGTTATGCTTTTTTTTACCACTAGTTTGTCACATTCTTTATAAAATAAAAATTATATGTGTAGAGTATGATATTATATTCATCACTGTCCTCCAATCCTCCAATCCATTCTACCCCATGCCCCTTCCTTATCTTTCCCAGAACAGGTAACTGATGGCTGTCCCTTGCTTGACAGAGAAAGAAACAGCTATCCACTTGAAAACCCACAACTCCTAACCTTTTTCACTGATCAGGTTCTACTTCTCTCTACCTTACAAGAGATTCTTAATTCAACATGTCCTTCATCTCATTTATTCTGTATATATTGGGCTATTACTGTGCTGAGTTTCTCCCCCTTTATGTATCTTCAACCACTCCAGTGAATTCTTCCCCTCAGCAGGTAGATACATCTCAAATCTCTTTAAATAAAAAAAACTATCTCTTAACTCACACATGTTCCAATATCTCTGTCCTTCCTCCTTCTCTATGCAATAAAACAATAGTTACCCACAATCTTAATCTCACTTTCTATTGACTCCTGAAACTAATGCATCACCCATGATCATTGCTAAGGCCAATATTCATTTCAGTCTTTAATCTTACTTTTACTCTCAGCTGCATTCGACTATTTTGAGCATGGTCTTATTTTTGGAACTTTCTTCCTCCTGGATGTTTTATACATCCATGTCCCTTTGTGATTTTCTACTTACAAATTGCCAGCCAATCTTTTGAGTCAACTCGATGAGCTCCTCTTTTCCTACTTGCTGCTTAAGTGTTAATATTTTCCAAGGTTCTGTTATTGACTTTCTTCTCTTCTCACTTTGCATACCCTCCACAGGTAGTTTTCTTCATACATGCAACATCAGCTATCAACTATGCTGAAGTTGGTGCTGAAATTGGTATACCCAAATGTCTGCATCCAGTCCAAATAAAACTCTGAATTCCCAAGTCCCCAATATGTGACTTGGGAGTCATTCTTTACCTTTTCCCTTTTTTCATCTCTCATATCTAATGTTTCACAGCTGATGAGGAGATGGAAGCTGAAGCCAAATAGTTTCCTTCTCCCCACATTTTCCTCCCAAAGGAAAGTTGAAGAGCATTCCCTTGTGTACTCCCTTGTAGGAGAAATATTGCCAAAAGTTGCTTAGGTTCAGGAGCATATATTTAGCATTGGCCTTGTGAGGCCAGTGTACAGCGGTAAAGTCTTTCGAGGATGCATTCTTCCCTCAGGACTGTAGGCTCCCTGGAAGATCCCCCATACAGCATTCATTTGTCTCATCTTCTGTCCTCTCCTTTACACTCCCATGCCTTTCCTCTTTCTTCTCTTTCCTTCTTTTCCTCCCTTCTCCCATCCCATCCCATAGGTGTGAACTTTCTGCATTTTGAAGAAAGATTTGTATTTTTGGGTGGACTAGACAGATCTTTCATTCTGCTTTTCTTGTCGATTTTTAAGATTGAATTTGCCTAGCAAAAGAAACTTCTTTTGAAAACAGATAATTCATAAGACCTCTTGATATGGTTTGGCACTGTGCCCCACCCAAATCTCATGTCGAATTTTAATTCCCAATGTTGGAGGAGGGACCTGGTGGGAAGTGATTGGATCATGGGGGCAGATTTCCTCCTTACTGTTCTTGTGATAGTGAATGAGTTTTCACAAGATCTGGTTGTTTAAAAGTATGTAGCACTTCCCCCTTCACTCTCTCTCTCCTGCTCTGGTCATAGTAAGACATGCTTGCTTCCCTTTCACCTTCTGCCATGATTGTAAGTTTCCTGAGACCTCCAAGCCATGCTTCCTGTACAGCCTGCAGAACTGTGAGTCAATTAAACCTCTTTTCTTCATAAATTACCCAGTCTCAAGTAGTTCTTTATAGCAGCGTGAGAGCAGATGAACACTGAAAACTGGTACCAGAGAAGTGAGGCATTGCTAGAAAGATACCTGAAAATGTGGAAGCAACTTTGGAACTGGGTAATGGGCAGAGGTTGAAACAGTTTGGAAGGCTCAGAAGAAGACAAGAAGATGAGGGAAAGTTTGAAAAATTTGCAACCTGACCATTTGGGAGGAAAGAAAACCCATTTTCCGGGGGTGGATTCAAGTAAAGAAGAACAGAATGTTAATAGCCAAAAAAATGGGGAAAATGCCTCAAGACATTTCAGAGACCTTCATGGTAGCCTCTGCCATCACAGCCCTGGAGGCCTAGGAGGCAAAAAAAAAAAAAATGGTTTCATGGGCCAGGCTCAGGGTCTCGCTGCTCTGGGCAGGCTCTGGACATGGCGCCCTGCATTGTGGCTGCTTCAGCTCCAGCCGTAGCTAAAAGGGGCCAAGGTACAGCTTGGACTGTTGCTTCAGAGGGTGCAAACCCCAAGCCTTGGCAGCTTCTATGTGGTGTTGGGCCTGCGGCTGTGCAGAAGACAAAAATTGAGCTTTGGGAGCCTCTGCCTAGATTTCAGAAGATGTATGAAAATGCCTGGATGACCAGGCAGAAATCTGCTGCAAGGGTGGAGCCCTTATGGAGAACCTCTACCAGGGCAGTGTGGAGGGGAAATGTGGGGTTGGAGCCCCCACACAGAGTCCCCACTGAGGCACTGCCTAGTGGAGCTTTGAGAAAGCTGCCATCCTCTAGACCCCAGGATAGTAGATCCACTGACAGCTTGTGCTGTGCACCTGGAAAAACTGCAGTCACTCAATGCCAGCCTGTGAAAGCAGCCATGAAGGCTATACCCTGCAGAGTCAATGAAGCAGAGATGCACAAGGCCTTGGGAGCCCACCCTTTGCATCACTGTGGCCTGGATGTGAGACAATGAGTCAAAGGAGATAATTTTGGAACTTTAAGATTTTATGACTGTCCTGCTGGGTTTCAGACTTGCATGGGACCTATAGCATCTTTGTTTTGGCCTATTTCTCCCTTTTGGAATGGCGGCATTTACCCTATGCATGTATGCACATTGTATCTCGGAAGTAACTAACTTCTTTTTGATTTTACAGGCTCATAGGCAGAAGGGACTTGCCTTGTCTCAGATGAGACTTTGGACTTGGACTTTTGAGTTAATGCTGGAATGAGATATGACTTTGGGGGACTGTTGAGAAGGCATGATTGTGTTTTGAAATGTGAAAAGGACATGAGATTTGGGAGGGGCCAGGAGCAGAATGATATGGTTTGACTCTATGTCCCCACCCAAATCTCATGTAGTTGAATTGTAATCCCCAGTGTTGGGGAAAGGACCTGGTGGGAAGTGATTGGCTCATGGGGGCAAACATCCCCCTTGCTGTTCTTGTGATAATAAGTTCTCATGAGATCTGGTTGTTTAAAACTGTGTAGCACTTCCCCCTTTGCTGTCTCTCTCTCCTGCTCCCATCATGTAAGACATGCTTGCTTCCCCTTCACCTTCCACCATAATCATAAGTTTCCTGAGGCCTCCGTACCCATGCCTACTGTACAGGCTGTGGAACATTGAGTCAATTAATCTTCTTTTCTTCATAAATTACCCTGTCTCAGGTAGCTCTTTATAGCAGTGTGGGAATGGACTAATACACATCTCTATTGGTTTTTGAGTCAAATTCTTCAGATAGAAAAAAAATGGGTCAATTTTACTTTGCTTTTTTTTCTGTGTCTATATTTTTTTCTGGGAACCATGTGGAGAGGTAAGTCCCAAAAACAGGATTCAATTAATCATGGATCTCTGGTCAGTATAATTTTAATTTCACTATCTTTCTCCTTTTACCAGCAGCCACCAACTATTTTTGATTCTATATTCTAGCTATTTCAAAATTCTCTCTTTGGTAGATTATAAAAATGATCACTTTTTTTGATAGCCATTTCATCAAGAGATACAGTCTATTTTTCCATTCTTTAATTCTGGGCTGGCTTGGTGACATGCTTTGGCTCAGAGAATGAGACTGACACACAACAGTGTGCATTCTGAGGCTGGATCTCAAGAGGCCTTGCATATTTCTTCTTGATCTCTTGTAGCCTTCACTGTATGAACAATGCCTGATCATTCTTCCAGAGGATGAGAAACCAAAGGGATCAAAAAGGAGCTGTTCCAGCTGAGCCCTTTAGCTTAGCCAGCTCCCACCTGACCAGCTATTAATAGTCGACCAGAGATGTATGAATCAGCAAGTTGAGATCAGGTGAGCCTGGCCCAGATCAGCAGAATTCCAATGAAGCCCAAACCATACTGATGGCCTGCAGACTCTTAAGCTAAATCAGGGTTTCTCAACCTTGGTAATATTGACATTTTGGACTGAATAATTCTTGGGGAGGAGTGGTACTTTCCTGTGCATCATAAAATGTTTAGCAGCATGCCTGGCTTCTAATAACTAGATGACCACAGCATCCTCACCCCCACTGTGACAACCAAAAATGTCTTTAGACATTGCCAAATGTCCCACCCACTTCCCCACTTCACTGGTTGAGGACCAATCAGCTAAATAAGTGGTAGTTGTTTTAAATCTGTAAGTTTTGTGGGTTTTTTTTGTATACAAAATGCTAATTAATACAGATCCCTTTTTTCTAGCTCTACTGACATTTTCTTACATTTGGTTCCTATAACTTTGCTTTGACTAAATTTTTGCCAGCTGCCTAACTAGTCTTTCTATTAATACTTGGGTTTACTCCTGTAACCCACTTCACACATTTCCATTAGTAGTTAAGCAAATAAACACACAAACACAAATCATATCACTGCAGTAGGACCTCATAACCTGCTTGGCAGAATTCCAAACTCCTGACATAAAAGGTCCTTTATCATTCAGTTTCCACTACAAACCATATGAGGAAGTTTGTATATGCCCCTAAAAAGAATGTTGTTGAATTTTAAAGTTGTTAGGAGCAGATTCTAGTATAGTAGATATTTCCTATTTTATTGAGTATTCATTACGCTGTTTTCCCTTGATCTGGGAAAAAATCCCATATCCTTTTTGGGAAATTATCTCTTCACTGTGTGCAAGATTAAGAAGCCTGTCAATCAAAGTATCTTGACTTTTTCTAACCAAGGGGATGGAAACACAACTTTAGGTACGTTAAATAGCATCTGCTCTAGGATGCAGACTCTTGGAGAATGATGCAAAACCCTAAACAATGATAGGTGTGCCCTTATCCTGTGGTAGCCAATTCACTCCTGTATAATAGTCTAATTTCTGATTCCCCAGTTTGTGTTATTTTTTTTTAAGCCTATTGTAGGCTTTTTCACCTGTACTGGCTGTGATCCTCTCAATATATTCCCTTTTTGGTAATATTATTCAGAGTTTTTTCTGCAATCTTAATTGATCACTCTCACAATAGAAAACAACAAAAACCTGAGTAAAGCAAGAATAAATAACAATGACCAATGTGTCTTTTATGACCTTAGATAAAGTGTGCATTAGTTTTCAAACTAAAATTAGTAGTTATCTTTTAAAAGTATAGTTTAACCATGAATTTATCATAAAATGTTATGGCGAGCTAACTGAATCCTTTTTTAGTCCAAAGGAAAGTTGGATGGCCATGAAACCAATAACTTGGTAGTAGAGACATCAATGGGTCTATAAGTCTGTGACTACGTATGCCAAATTTTTGGTATGTATTGCATTCCTTATTATTTAAGTCAATATATATGAACTAAATCTGATTGTTTGAGGTTTTGTGTGTAATATTTTCTCTTAAATATTTTGTAATATTGACAATAATATCATTTCCTTAAAATAACATTAAATTAATTTTAATATATTTCATAATATATACCTTTGACTAAATCAGTGTGGATTTCTCCCATTCCAGCCCTAATTAATGAAATTCTATTATATTTTTGCTATATCTATCTATAGAAGAAGGAAAAATAATTTTCTCTTAACCCTTAGTCTAGCCTCCTTCATTTCTAGCTAGCTATCTAGCTATCAATCAATCAATCGTATATCGAGGAATCAATTTCCTAGATGCTCCAAGTATTTATAAACCTTATCTTGCATGCCAGAAGTGGGGGAATCAGGTAGCTTAGAGTTTATTTATGCTCTATGCCACTTCTGTTTTATATGCATACTTACAAGCAGAAGACATGTTATAAATGTTCTTCTTCTGACTCTGAGACTCCATTATACTTGCTTAGGTTCTTGAGAAACAGGAGGATGCCCTCTTGAGGTAGTTATTAGCGCTGTACTCTTAAATGTATCCCCTGTCTCCTGTTCTAGGCACATGGTATCATACTTTTCATCCTCATTGTGTCTGAGTGAGGCCCTGTGATTGGTTCTGAATAATAAGTTATGAGCAAAAGTAGCACATGATATTTCCAGGGAAATCATTTAATAGCCAAGGCAAGAACCTTCATAATTCTTTTCTCTCTAATTTTTAATGTTTGAGATGGTGAGTGTTCCCTGAATGATTATGAGCAGAGTAGGTGAATGTATAGATTGAACAAGAAACAAGACTTGATTACTTTAAGTCAATAAGATTTTGTCACTGCAGCATAATGTAGCTTTTCTTGCCTGATAATATCTTTATTTCTGCAAAGTAATTCTTCAGAAATCTGCCTTTTCTCCTAATGGTAAATTTGTTTGGACAAGTAAGAAGATCATCTGAAGGCCCCCACTGATTCTTTAGCCAGTAGTCTAGAAGCTCAATCTTGGTCTTCTTTGGTATATTTGAAAGCACACCTAACCTGCCTTCCTACCTTTCTATCCACTTCCACAGGTTTATAAAGTCTCCTGAAATCTTGAAAATGTCTTAGACAAATGCCCATCATCTAAAACTCTATACCTAAAAAAGTACAATCGAGAAATTCTGCCCCCATCATCAACTTTTTTTTTTTTTTTTGGTTTTCAAAATCCTTTCCTTTTACCTAATAAAAGTTTCTCAAATTCCAGCCTGTTTTACCTCTTCTTGAAACAGGAGGGGAGATAATACTATTTATCTCCTTTTTTGACCCCCAATTTAATAAACATCCTTTCTTCCTCCTTCAGTCTTTTTATTTCTGTTAGCTCTCTATCAGTGTGACTTTGATCTTGATGCCTGACATGTGCTTTCACCTAGAGAAGGTGAAAGTAAAATGGGGATAGGGATTGGGGTAACAACAGGTGCTTTTTCTAACATTTTCTACTGAGGGCACAAAGCATGCCCTGATTTTTAAAAAATGCTGTTAGAATTGGTATTCACATGAACTCAGTTCTGATGTCATTTGTGACAGTTGGAGTGTGATAATCTGTAGGTTTTCTGATTCCAGTGAGGTTATATGCCTGCATATTGACAGGAAGGCTAAAGAAAGCCTCTTTTTCTACTCTTTCCATTTAGCTTGAGCTAAGTGACCCAACAGAGACCTATGAAAGCAGAGAGCAGAAGAGAAACAGGGTAGGGCTATGGGTCACACGTAGTGAATAGAGAAGGAGTGACATCAGTACGAAGTCTGTAGCTTAATAGTTTTCACTAACCACAGTGGCAGCTCTGAGATGAGTTTATTTTGAAAATTCAAGGTTGAAGCCTTTTTAATTCTGAGAAAGAGGAAATTTCTTCAGGATATGTTATTCGTTTCTTTATGGTTTGAGTTTAGTTTTGTTTCAATAGACACCTTTTATGAAGCACAAGACTTCTTTTTTTTTTTTAATTCTGGGAAAGGTGGGTATATAAATAAAATGAAATAGTTCCTATATCTCTTATTGACAGGTTAAATGGCTGGAAATGCTCAACTGAAAAACATTCTGGGGCTCTATTTTGGCTCAGTGGTGACAGAATAGCCATGATGGCCTAGGGCTTAGGAGCTTTAAATTTGTCATCCTTGTTGTAGGAAGTATGTGAGTAATAATCTCTTATATTCTTATACTTTAAGGAAGAAAAGGGAATATATTATTTTTTCTCAAAATATAATATTTTTTCTTTAAAGTCTTCAGAGAAAGAGCTCTCTGGACATTGGACATTCTCATTTCTTACAAGTTTTTAAAATTTTGTTTTAAATTGACAAATTAAAACTGTACCTATTCATGGGGTACATAGTAATATTTCAATTAACTTCATTTAACATAATGTCCTCCCACTTTATCCATGTTGTAAAGAATAACAGAATTTCATTAATTTCTATGTCTGAATAGTATTCCATTGTGTATACATACCACATTTTCTTTATCCATTCGTCTGTTACTGGACACCTATGTTGATTTCTAATCTCGGCTATTACGAATAGTGCCGCCATAACATGGGAGTTTAGATGTCTCTCTGATATAATTATTTTTTTCTCAGAGAGAAATATTTAATAGGGACTTATAAATCATATTTTTGGCAGTTGCAAGATGAGCCGGTGGATCCCCAACCATTATGTTATAATTATTTCCTTTCCTTTGGATAAATGCCCAGCCCTGGGATTGCTGGATCATATGGTAGTTCTATTGGTCATTTTTGAGGAACTTTTATCCTGCTCGCCATAGTGATTGTACTAGCTTATATTCCCACAAACAGTGTTTTAAGAGTTCCCTATTCGCTGCATCCTCACCAGCATTTTAAAATTTTTTTGTTGTTTTGATAATAGCCATTCTAACTGGGGTGAAATAATACCTCATTGAGGTTTTGATTTGCATTTCCCTGATGACTGGTGATGTTAAGCATTTTAAAATATATTTGTTGACCATTTGTTTGTTTTATTTTGAGAAATATCTATTCAGATCACTTGCCCATTTAAAAATCATATTGTTTGCTTTTCTTGGTGTTGCAATGTTGGAGCTCATTGTATGTTCTGGATATGAATCCTTTGTCAGATGAGTAGTTTGCAAATATTTTCTCCCATTCTGTAGATTGCCTTTTTACTTTGTTGATTGTTTGTTTTGCTGTATAGAAGCTTTTTAGTTTGACATAATTCCATTTGTTTAATTTTGTTTTTGTTGCCTATGCTTTTGAGGACTTCTTCCCAAAACATTTTCTAGACTGATGTTCTGAGTCATTTCTAGTGTGTTTTCTTCTAGTAGTTTTTTTGTTTCAGGTCTTACATTTAGATCTTTGGGCCATTTGAGTTGTTTTTTTAATAGGATGAGAGTTGTGGTTCTAGTTTTTCTGCCTATAAATATCCATTTCTTAGCACCATTTATTGAAGAGACTGACTATTCCCCAGTAGGTGTTTTTGGGACCTTTATCAAATATCAATTGATTGTAGATATATGGATTAATTTCTGGGTTCTCTATTTTGTTCCATTGGTCTATGTGCCTGTTTTTATGCCAGTACCATGCTGTTTTGGTTACTATAGCTTTGTAGTATACTTCAGATCTGGTAGTGTGATATCTCCAGCTTTGTTCTCTTTGGTCAGGATTGCTTTGGCTCTTTGAGATCTTTTGTGGTTCTATACAAATTTTAGAAATTTTTCTATTCCTGTGAAGAATGTCATTGACATTTTGATAGAGATTACATTAAATCTGTAGATTGCTTTGGGTAGTATTGTCATTTCAACAATATTGATTCCTCTGATCCATGAGCATGGGATGTCTTTCCATTTGTTTGTATCCTCTTTAATTTCTTTCATCATTGTCTCATAGTTATCCTTGTATATGTCCTTCATCTCATTTGTTAAATATATTCCTAGGTATTTTATTTTTCTGTAGGTATTGCAAGTGGGATTGCCTTCTTGACCTCTTTTTCAGCTAGTTCATTGTTTGTGTACAAAAATGCTACTGATTTTTGTATATTAATTTTATACCTTGCAACTTTATTTAATGTGCTTATTGGTTCTAAGTTGCTGGGGGTTTTTTTTGTAGAGTCTTTAGGGTTTTCTTTTCTTTTTTTTGCTTCACTTTATTTATTTATTTATTTATTTATTTATTTATATTACACTATAAGTTCTAGGGTACATGTGCGCAACGTGCAGGCTCGTTACATAGGTATACATGTGCCAGGCTGGCCCACTGCACCCATCAACCCATCATTTACATTAGGTATTTCTCCCAATGCTGTCCCTCCCCGCTGTCCCTCACCCCACAAAAGGCCCCAGTGTGTGATGTTCCCCATCCTGTGTCCAAGTGTTCTCATTGTTCAATTCCCACCTATGAGTGAGAACACGCAGTCTTTGGTTTTCTGTCCTTGTGATAGTTTGCTCAGAATGATGGTTTCCAGCTTCATCCATGTCCCTACAAAGGACATGAACTCATCATTTTTTATGGCTGCATAATATTCCACGGTGTATATGTGCCACATTTTCTTAATCCAGTCTATCATTGATGGACATTTGGGTTGGTTCCAAATCTTTGCTATTGTGAACAGTGTCACAATAAACATATGTGTGCATGTGTCTTTATAGCAGCATGATTTATAATCCTTTGGATATATACCCAGTAATGGGATCACTGGGTCAAATGGTATTTCTAGCTCTAGATCCTTGAGGAATCGTCACACTGTCTTCCACAATGGTTGAACTAGTTTACATGCCCACCAACAGTGTAAAAGCGTTCCTATTTTTCCACATCCTCTCTAGCATCTGTTGTTTCCTGACTTTTTAATGATCGCCATTCTAACTGGTGTGAGACGGTATCTCCTTGTGGTTTTTATTTGCATTTATCTAATGACCAGTGATAAGGAGCATTTTTTCATGTGTCTGTTCACTGAATAAATGCCTTCTTTTGAGAAGTGTCTGTTCATATCCTTCACCCACTTGTTGATGGGGTTTTTTGTTTTTTTTCTTATAAATTTGTTTTTAAGTTCTTTGTAGATTCTAGATATTAGCCCTTTGTCAGATGGGTGGATTGCAAAAATTTTCTGCCATTCTGTAGGTTGCCTGTTCACTGTGATGGTAGTTTCTTTTGCTGTGCAGAAGCTCTTTAGTTTAATTAGATCCCATTTGTCAATTTTGGCTTTTGTTGCCATTGCTTTTGGTGTTTTAGTCATGAAGTCCTTGTTCATGCCTATGTCCTGAATGGTATTGCCTAGGTTTTCTTCTAGGGTTTTTGTGGTTTTATGTCTAACATTTAAGTCTTTAATCCATCTTGAATTAATTTTTGTATAAGGTGTAAGGAAGTGATCCACTTTCAGCTTTCTACATATGGCTAGCCAGTTTTCCCAGCACCATTTATTAAATAGGGAATCCTTTCCCCATTTCTTGTTTTTGTCAGGTTTGTCAAAGATCAGATAGTTGTAGATGTGTGGTATTATTTCTGAGGTGTCTGTTCTGTTCCATTGATCTATATATATGTCTTGGTACCACTACCATGCTGTTTTGGTTACTGTAGCCTTGTAGTATAGTTTGAAGTCAGGTAGCGTGTTGCCTCCAGCTTTGTTCTTTTTGCTTAGGATTGACTTGGCAATGTGGGCTCTTTTTGGTTCCATATGAACTTTAAAATAGTTTTTTCCAAGTCTGTGAAGAAAGTCATTTGTAGCTTGATGGGGATGTCATTGAATCTATAAATTACCTTGAGCAGTATGGCCATTTTCACAATATTGATTCTTCCCATCCATAAGCATGGAATGTTCTTCCATTTGTTTGTGTCTTCTTTTATTTCATTCAGCAGTGGTTTGTAGTTCTCCTTGAAGAGTTCCTTCACACCCCTTGTAAGTTGGATTCCTAGGTATTTTATTCTCTTTGGAGCAATTGTGAATGGGAGTTTACTCCTGATTTGGCTCTCTGTTTGTTGGTTATTGGGGTATAGAAATTCTTGTGATTTTTGCACATTCATTTTTTATCCTGAGACTTTGCTGAAGTTGCTTGTCAGCTTAAGGAGATTTTGGGCTGAGACGATGGGGTTTTCTAAATATACAATCATGTCATCTGCAGACAGAGACAATTTGACTTCCTCTTTTCCTAATTGAATGGCCTTTATTTCTTTCTCCTACCTGATTGCCCTGGCCAGAACTTCCAACACTATGTTGAATAGGAGTGATGAGAGAGGGCATCCCCATCTTGTGCCAGTTTTCAAAGGGAATGCTTTCAGTTTTTGCCCATTCAGTATGATATTGGCTGTGGTTTGTCATAAACAGCTCTTATTGTTTTGCGATACATTCCATAAATACCTAGTTTATTGAGAGTTTTTAGCATGATGGGCTGTTGAATTTTGTTGAAGGCCTTTTTTGCATCTATTGAGATAATCATGTGGTTCTTGATGATGGTTCTGTTTATGTGATGGATTACGTTTATTGATTTGCGTATGTTGAAGCAGCCTTTCATCCCAGGGATGAAGCCCACTTGATCATGGTGGCTCAGCTTTTTGAAGTGCTACTGGATTCGGTTTGCCAGTGTTTTATTGAGGATTTTCACATTGATGTTCATCAGGGATTTTGGTCTAAAATTCTCTTTTTTGTGTGTGTGTCTCCACCAGGCTTTGGTATCAGGATGATGCTGGCCTCATAAAAAGAGTTAGGGAGGATTCCCTCTTTTTCTATTGATTGGAATAGTTTCAGAAGGAATGGTACCAGCTCCTCTTTGTACCTCTGGTAGAACTCGGCTGTGAATCCACCTGGTCCTTGACTTTTCTTGGTTGGTAGCCTATTAATTACTGCCTCAATTTCAGAGCCTGTTATTGGTCTATTCAGAGATTCAATTTCTTCCTGGTTTAGTCTTGGGAGGGTGTGTGTGTCCAGGAATTTGCCCGTTTCTTCTAGATTTCCTAGTTTATTTGTGTAGAGGTATTTATAATATTCTCTGATGGTAGTTTGTATTTCTGTGGGATCGGTGGTGATATCCCCTTTATCATTTTTTATTGCATCTATTTGATTCTTCTCTCTTTTCTTCTTTATTAGTCTTGCTAGCGGTCTATCAATTTTGATTTTCAAAAAACGAGCTCCTGGATTCATTGATTTTTTTGAAGGGGTTTTTGTGTCTCTGTCTCCTCCAGTTCTGCTCTGATCTTAGTTATTTCTTGCCTTCTGCTAGCTTTTGAATGTGTTTGCTCTTGCTTCTCTAGTTCTTTTAATTGTGATGCGAGGGTGTCAATTTTAGATCTTTCCCGCTTTCTCTTGTGGGCATTTAGTGCTATAAATTTCCCTCTACACACTGGTTTCAATGTGTCCTAGAGATTCTGGTATGTTGTGTCTTTGTTCTCATTGGTTTCAAAGAACATCTTTATTTCTGCCTTCATTTCGTTATGTACCCAGTAGTCATTCAGGAGCAGGTTGTTCAGTTTCCATGTATTTGTGCAGTTTTGAGTGAGTTTCTTAATCCTGAGTTCTAATTTGATTGCACTGTGGTCTGAGAGACAGTTTGTTGTGATTTCTGTTCTTTCACATTTGCTGAGGAGTGCTTTATTTCCAACTATGAGGTCAATTTTGGAATAAGTGTGATGTGGTGCTGAGAAGAATGTATGTTCTGTTGATTTGGGGTGGAGAGTTCTGTAAATATCTATTAGGTCCGCTTGGTGCAGAGCTGAGTTCAATTCCTGGATATCCTTTTTAACCTTCTGTCTCGTTGATCCGTCTACTATTGACAGTGGGGTGTTAAAGTCTTCCAATATTATTGTGTGGGAGTCTAAGTCTCTTTGTAGGTCTGTAAGGACTTGCTTTATGAATCTGGGTTCTCCTGTATTGGCTGCATATATAGTTAGGATATTTAGCTCTTCTTGTTGAGTTGATCCCGTTACCATTATGTAATGGCCTTCTTTGTCTCTTTTGTTGGTTTAAAGTCTATTTTGTCAGAGACTAGGATTGCAACTCCTGCTTTTTTTTGCTTTCCATTTGCTTGGTAGATCTTCCTCCATCTCTTTATTTTGAGCCTATGTGTGTCTCTGCATGTGAGATGGGCCTCCTGAATACAGCACACTGATGGGTTTTGACTCTTTATCCAATTTGCCAGTCTATATCTTTTAATTGGGGCATTTAGCCCATTTACATTTAAGGTTAATATTGTTATGTATGAATTTGATCCTGCCATTATGACATTAGCTGGTTATATTTCCTGTTAGTTGATGCAGTCTCTTCCTAGCATCAAAGATGTTTACAATTTGGCATGTTTTTGCAGTGGCTGGTACCGGTTGTTTCTTTCCATGTTTAGTGCTTCCTTCAGGAGCTCTTGTAAGGCAGGCCTGGTGGTGAGAAAAATCTCTCAGCATTTGCTTGTCTGTAAAGGATTTTATTTCTCCTTCACTTATGGAGCTTAGTTTGGCTGGATATGAAATTCTGGGTTGAGAATTCTTTAAGAATGTTGAATATTGGCCCACAGTCTCTTTTAGCTTGTAGAGTTTCTGCCAAGAAATCCACTGTTAGTATAATGGGCTTCCGTTTGTCGGTAACCCGACCTTTCTCTCTGGCTGCCCTTAACATTTTTTTCCTTCATTTCAACCTTGGTGCATCTGAAAATTATGTGTCTTGGGGTTGCTCTTTTCAAGGAGTATCTTTGTGGTGTTCTCTGTATTTTCTGAATTTGAATGTTGGCCTGCGTTGTTAGGTTGGGGAAGTTCTCCTGGATAATATCTTGAAGAGTGTTTTCCTACTTGATTCCATTCTCCCCGTCACTTTCAGGTACACCAATCAAATGTAGATTTGGTGTTTTCACATAGTCCCATATTTCTTGGAGGCTTTGTTTGTTACTTTTTACTCTTTTTTCTCTCAACTTCTCTTCTCACTTTATTTCATTAATTTGATCTTCAGTCATTGATACCCTTTCTTCCCCTTGATCGAATCGGCTACTGAAGCTTGTGCATATGTCACATAGTTCTTGTGCCATGGTTTGCAGCTCCATCAGATCATTTAAGGTCATCTCTACACTGTTTATTCCAGTTAGCCATTGGTCTAATCTTTTTTCAAGGTTTTTAGCTTCCTTTTGATGGGTTTGAACATCCTCCTTTAGCTTGGAGAAGTTTATTACCAACCTTCTGAAGCTTACTTCTGTCAGCTCATCAAAGTCATTCTCCGTCCAGCTTTGTTCAATTGCTGGTGAGGAGCTTCGATACTTTGGAGGAGAAGAGGTGCTCTGGTTTTTAGAATTTTCAGCTCTGGTTTCTCCTCATCTTTGTGGTTTGATCTACCTTTGGTCTTTGATGTTGGTGGCCTACAGATGGGGTTTTGGTGTAGATGTCCTTTTTGTTGATGTTGATGCTATTCCTTTCTGTTTGCTAGTTTTCCTTCTGACAGTCACGTTCCTCAGCTAAAGGTCTGTTGGAGTTTGCTGGAGGTTCACTCCAGTCCCTGTTTGCCTGGGTATCACCAGCAGAGGCTGCAGAACAGCAAATATTGCAGAACAGCAAATATTGCTGCCTGATCCTTCCTCTGGAAGTTTCGTCCCAGAGGGGCACCTGCCTGTATGAGGTGTCAGTCGGCCCCTACTGGTGGGTGTCTCCCAGTTAGGCTACATGGTGGTCAGGGACCCACTTGAGGAGGCAGCCTGTCCATTCTCAGAGCTCAAACACTGTGCTGGGAGAACCATTGCTCTCTTCAGGGCTGTCAGACAGGGATGTTTAAGTCTGCAGAAGTTTCTGCTGCCTTTTATTCAGCTATGCCCTGCTCCCAGAGGTGGAAGCTACAGAGGCAATAGGTGTTGCTGAGCTTTGATGGGCTCCACCCAGTTTGACCTTCCCCTGCTAGCCACTTTGTTTACCTACTCAAGCTTCATCAATGGCAGATGCCCCTCCCCCAGCCAGGCTGCTGCCTCACAGTTTGATCTCAGACTGCTGCACTAGCAGTGAACAAGGATCCATGGGCGTGGGACCTTCCAAGCCATGTGTGGGATACAATCTCCTGGTGTGCCGTTTGCTAAGACCATTGGAAAAGCACAGTATTTGGGCAGGAGTACCCCGATTTTCCAGGTACAGTCTATCATGGCTTCCCTTGGCTAGGAAAGGGAAATCCCCCCACCCCTTGTGCTTCCAGGGTGAGGCAATGTCCTGCCCTGTTTCGGCTCACCCTCTATGGGCTGCATCCACTGTCCATCCCGTCCCAGTGAGATGAACCAGGTACTTCAGTTGGAAATGCAGAAATCACCCATCTTCTGTATCAATCACACTGGGAGCTGCAGACCGGGGCTGTTCCTATTTGGCCATCTTGGAACAGACTCCCCGTCTTTAGGTTTTTCTATATATAAGATCATGTCATCTGCAAACAGGGACAATTTGACTTCCTCCTTTACAATTTTGATGCCCTTTTTTTCTTTCTCTTGCTAACTGTGCTGGCTAGGGTTTCCAGTTCTATGTTATGTTCTATTAGTTTTTATAGGAAAAGATTTAGCTTTCCTCTATTCAGTAAGATGTTAGCTGTGGATTTTCCATATAAAGCCTTTAGTATGTTGAGCTTCTTTCCTTCTTGTGGGAAAGAGAGTTTCTGGTTGGTCTCCTCTGTGTGCGACACCCATGGAAAGCCATGGGTGGACTCTGAGGAGAAGTCTCCTTATTGCCTTCATGTCTTTATGCCCCAAGAGCATAACCACTCAGCGGCATTCCATAGGTTGCTCAGGGAGATAACGCTTCCTTGAAGCAGTGGAGTATAATCAAACATCTTGGCTCCTCCTGAAACCTGCTCCCACCCGTTTCAGTCCAGATAAGTTAAAGATCTTAAGTAGTTTATACACACGCCTTTGCTCAAGGAAATTCACAGAAACCACCACTGCTATACATTTTATCAAATAACTCACGAGTTCTCCTTCACTGATTAATCCATTTCCTCATCCCTTCCTCCCCCTCCCATCTGCCCTAAGAACAAAGAGCTTGTAAACCAATTAAACCAATAAATTGGGCAGAGCCTGAGAGCTCTGGGCTGTGAGCAAACCTCCGATGCTCTGGTCCCCTGGACCCACCTTTTAAACGCTTTTTCTGTCTCTTTCTAACTCCTTTGTCTCCACTGGACTCCGAGTACCCACTGGGTGGTGTGGGACTGGTTTCGCCAACACTTCTCTACCTAATTTATTAGTTTTTATTATGAAGGGATGTTGAATGTTATCAAAAGCTTTTTCTGCATCTATTAAGATGATCATATGGCTTTTGTTCTTCATTCCATTAATGTGATGTATGATGTGTATTGATTTGCATATGTTGACTCATGCTTGCTTTCCTGGGATAAATCCCACTTGATCATGGTGTATGATTAATTTGATGTGTTGTTGTATTTAGTTTGCTAAGATTTTGTTGAGAATTTTTATTTCTATGTTCATCAGATATTGGCCTGTAGTTTTCTTTTTATGTTGGATCCTAGTCTTCTTTTGCTAACAGGGTTATGCTAGCCTCATAGAATGAGTTAGGAAAAATTCCCTCTGTTTTAAAATAGTTTGAGAAGAATTAGTGTTAATTCTTTAAATGTTTAGTAGAATCCAATGGTAAAACCAGTCCTGGACTTTTTTTTGTTGGAAGACTTTTTATTATTGATTTAATCTCATTAATTGTTATTAATATTATATGTTTAGGTGTTCTATTTGTCTTGTTTCAATTTTGGTAGGTTGTATATGTCCATTAAGTTATCCATTTTCTCTTTATTTTTAAATTTACTGGTATATAGTAATCTCTAATGATCCTTCCTATTTCTATGTTATCTATTGAGATATGTCATTTTTTGTTTCTGATTTTTATTTATTTGAACCTTTTCTCTTTCTTAGTCTAGTTAATGGTTTGTCAATTTTGTTTATATTTTCAAAAACTACCCTTTTGTTTCATGAATCTTTTGTATTTTTTTACTCTCAGTTTTATTTATGTATGCTCTGATTTATATTATTTTTTTCCTTCTATTAATTCTGGGGTTCATTTGTTCTTGCTTTTCTAGTTCTTCAAGGCACATTGTTACACTGTTTATTTAAAATCTTTCTAGTTTTCTGATGTAGGCATATATTGCTATAAACTTACCTCTTAATACTGCTTTTGCTCCATAAGTTTTGGTATGTTATGCTTAAATTTTCATTGGTTTCAAAGAAGTTTTAAATGTTAGTCTTAATTTCTTTCTTTACCTATTGGTCATTAGGAGCCAGCTATTTAATTTCTATGTATTGGTATAGTTTTGAATGTTACTCTTGTTATTGGTGTCTAGTTTTATTCCATTGTGATCAGATAAGATACTTGGTATGGTCACAATTTTTAAAAATTTTGGAGACTTGTTTTATGTTCTAATATATGATCAGTCCTGGAGAAATGACCATATGTTAATTAAGCATTAATTAACATTAATGCTTAATTAACATATGTTAATTATGCTTGATTAACACATGTTAATTATGCTTGATTAACACATGTTAATTATGCTTAATTAACATATGGTCACCCAAGCAGCTGTTGAGTGAAATGTTCTGTAAATGTCTGTTAGGTCTATTTGGTCTATAGAGCAGATTAAATTCAATGTTTCCTTGTTGATTTTCTGTCTAGATGATTTGTCTAGTGCTGACAGTGAGGTTTTTAAGTCCCTAGATATCATTGTTTTAGGGTTTATCTCTCTCTTTAGATTTAATAATATTTGCTTTATATACCTGAATGCTCTAGTATTGGGTGAATATATTTTTACAATTGTTATATTTTCTCACTGAATTAATTCCTTTATTATCACATAATGTCCTTCTTTGTCTCTTCTTATAGCTTTTAAAATGAAATCTCTTTGTCTGATACAAGTATAGGTTTTCCCGCTCATTTTTGGTGTTTGTCACCGTGGAATATCTTTTTCTATCTCTTCACTTTCATCCTATTTGTGTCTTTAATAACAAGATGAGCTTCTTGTAGGGAGTATGGAGATAGGTCTTGTTTTTGTAACCATTCAGTCAGTCTATGTTGTTTAAATGAGGAATTTAATCCATTTGTATTCAAGATTATTTTTGATAGGTGAGGTCTTATTCCTATCATGTTTATTGTTTGTTTCGGGGTTATTTTGTATATTCTTTGTTCCTTATATCCTTTCTTCTTATTATTATTTTTTTAGATTTGGGTGGTTTTCTGTAGTGATAAAGTTTGATTTATCTTTCTCCTTTGTGTATCAGCTGTACCAGTGAGTATTATAGTTTTGCATGTTTTCATAATAGTGGTTATCATCTTTTTATTTCCAAACATAAGACTCCCTTGTAATGCTGGTGTAGTGGTGATAAGTTTTCTTAGTTTTTGTTTGTCTATGAAAGATTTTATTTATCCTTCATTTCTGAGGGATAATTTGGCTGGGTATATTATTATTGGCTGGCAGGTTTTTTTTTCTTTCAGCATCTTGACTATATCATTTTATTGTCTCTTGGCCTATAAACTGTCTGCTGAGAAATGCGCTTTTTTTTTTTTTTTTTTGAGATGGAGTCTGGCTCTGTCACCCAGGCTGGAGTACAGTGGCATGATCTTGGCTCACTGCAACCTCTGCCTCCTGGGTTCAAGCAATTATCCTGCCTCAGCCTCCCAAGTAGGTGGGATTACAAGCGTCTGCCACCATACCCGGCTAACTTTTGTGTTTTTAGTAGAGGTGGGGTTTCACCATGTTGACCAGGCTGGTCTCGAACTCCTGACCTCGTGATCCACCCACCTTGGATTCCCAAAGTGCTGGGATTACAGGCATGAGCCACTGCACCCAGCAATACACTGTTATTCTAATGAGGATTCCCTTATATACGACTTTACACTTTTCTCTTGCTGCTTTTAAAATTCTATGTTCTTGACTTTTGACAATTCGACTATGATGTCCCTTGAAGAGGACCTGTTTAAGTTGAATCTATTTGGGGTTCTTTGAGCTTCCTGAACCTGGATATCCTTCTCTCTCCATAGACTTGAGACATTTTTTGCTATTATTTCATTAAATATATTTTTCTTACCTTTCCTTGTCTCTTCTCCTTTCTATAATGCTCATAATGTAAATATTTGCTTAATCGTGTCTTGTAAATCCAGCATGCTTTCTTTATTCTGTTTTCTTTTTTCTTTTTTTTTTGTCTGCCTGTATTATTTCAAAATATTTATCTTCTAGTTCATAAATTCTTTCTTCTGGTTGGTCTAATGTGTTGTTACAGTTCTCAATTGTATTTTTTGTTTAACTCAGTAAATTCTTCAGTTCTAGGATTTGTTTGTTTTTTTATAATGATATCTATTTATCACATCTGTTTGTTGAATTTCTCATTCAAATGATGAATTGTTTCCTAATTTTATTGAATTGTCTATGTGCATTTGCTTGTATCTCACTGAGTTTCTTTAAGATTATTATTTTGAATTACTACTCTAGCACTTCCTATATTTCCTTTTGATTGGGGTATATTACTGCAGAATTATTTTCCTTTGGAAGTGACATGTTTCCTTGCTTTTTCATGGTTGATGTGTCCTTACATTGATTTCTATGCATCTGGTAGAAAATTCACCTCTTCCAAATTTATCGAGTAGGCTTCCTAGGGAAAGACTTATTCATATGAATAGGTCTGGTGGTATCAGTGTGTTGTGTGTTTTGATCTTTGTTCTAGTATAGTCTCTGTGTAGTTTCTTCAGTTGTAATCCATGCCGGTGGCATTTGCGAGTTTCTTAGCGTCTTAGGCTGAGAATGTTTGTGGCTTGGTTGTGTGCTTTGCCATGGGTGGGCCCACTGGGCTGTTTCTTATGTTGAGGGTATCTGTATGCACATATGGGTTGGCCAATGTGAGGTTTGACTCTCCAGGGTTGGGGGTCACAGGGCTGTTACTCTGGCCACAAACTAACGCACACAGTTGTTTGGCTAGCCTGGGGTTTGGCCTCTCAGGAGCAGCTTGTGGGGTGGTTTCTCAGGCCTGGAAGGTATGTACACTACTGCTCTGCCACCTGGAAATGTGTTTTCCAGGGTTGACCCACAGGGCTGTTTCTCAGGCCTGGGACATGGGCTAAAGGCTGCTTGGCTGGAGTAGGGGGGTGTGCTAGCCAGTGATAGTCCATGGGGTTATTTCTTAGGCCTGGTATGTGGGTGCAGGGCTGGCTGTGTGTGTGCCTGCTGCAGCTGATCCACGACACTATTTCTCAAGCTTTAAAGCTGCATGGCTGCTCAGCTGGGGGATGTCTGTGGGAGGCGGTCCATGGTGCTGTTGCACAGACCTGGGATGCAGACACAGGGATGCTTGGTTGGTCCCGGGCATGCTTACCAGAAGCAGCTCACAGGGCTCTTTCTCAGGGGCACATAGCTGCTTGACGAGCCTGGGGCCGTCTTCTCTGGATGGACCATGGGCTAGTGCTTAGGTTTGAGATGAAAGTGTAAGGCTGCTTGGCTGGCTCAGGGGTGCGCTCAACAGGGTGGTCCATGGAATTGTTTCTCAGGTCTCTTGGCTGCTTGGCTGATCTGGGAGCATGCCTACCAATCATGGCTTACAAGACTATTTCTCAGGCCCTTATTAGGGTTACAGGGCCACTGGGCAGGCCAAGGACATGTCTGGGGGTATCAGGGATGCTAGGGGGCTCTTAGGTTCTGAGCACAGGTATGTAGCTACTCTGCTGGCCCAGGGGCATATTAGCTGCTTGAAGACTCAGGGGCCTCTCCGACTTCAGGGGAAGGCATGTAGTGGTTTGGCAGGCTTTAGGATAAGTTTGTCCTAGGCAGGACTGCTAGACTGTTCCTTTGACTGGAAGTGAGGGAGGCAGGGATTGGTTATCCTGCTGTGCTGGACCAGAGTCACAGCCAATCCTAGGCCCAGGCTTCACACAGCTAGGATTTTGGCATTCTGTCACATTTGTGGGCTTGGTTTAATGAAGATGGAGCCCCAATGCAGGAGAGCAGTAGCTACTGTGCCCCAGAAGAGGGCACACACTGGTCTTAAGATGGCACCGTGCTACAGCAGGTTGGCTCACCATGGCTGGGTGAGAGGAGTACACACCTTGTGCTTCTAATCTGGGCAATACAACTATGCAAATTCCCAGTATATTTCAAAACTTGGCTCAGGGCTTGTGAGAACTTAAGATTTTCCTGTTGTAAGGATTGTAGGTGTTTACGGTGGCAATGGGGGCTGGTGGGGATCTTCTGCATACCTTCTCCTTGAAACAGGACGTCCCTCCTGACTCTAGGCAAATCTGATCTGGGTGAGAGAGATGGGGCTGCAGAGGCTAGGTGCCTCCACACTGCCCTCCTGGGCTTCCAATCACCACAAATGTGTCTCTACTCTCCTACTACATTCTAATGATCTCCCTTCAACACTCCAGTCAAATCAGCTATGGATTCTTTGCTTTGGTTCATTCTTGTAGGGGGGATGAATGCCAAGCGTCTGTAGCTAGCCATCTTGCCGATGTCACTCCCCCAATTTCTATCACAGGTTTTTTTTTTTTTTTTTTGGCAAGAACTTCTGAAAGCTATGCTGTAAGGCAACATTGTGGGGTGGATTGTTTTTTAAGCTTTTTCAGGTGAGCTTTTGTTTGTTTTTACTGAAATATCACACAAATGTCTAGTAAAAAACAAGTTTCAGTTATAACTATTTTATTTAAAGAGGGAGCAGTGACCTAAGACCGAATTCCTTGGCCTTCTTCTCTCTTACCCTTTGGCACATTTGAGAATACATAGGCCTTTACCAAATGCAACTGAAAGCTCCAAAATTGACATTTGCCAGAGAAACCTGGAATTGAATCTTGCTTTCATTGCTTTCTAGCTAAGTAACATTGGAAAAGTTGTTAGCCCATCTAAGATCTGTTTTCTTTATCAGTTAAATAGTGGTACCAGTGCTTAGCTTGCAAAGTTATTGTGACATTAAATTGAGATAGCAGAGGATAGTAGATTCTCAACAAAGATTATTTCTATTTCTCTCCCTGCTTGAAGCTACATACAACATAATAAACCAAATTTTTTATAAACCTGGTTTAAATTAATTCATTGCCATCATCCTCCACGTATTTGTAGAACATGTGAAGTTTTCTTCTGTTTTTCTTTGTTACCAAAATTAACCCTGATGTAGTTTTTTCTCTTCTCTTATACACTCATCTGGTGAAACAATAGATAATATTTCTCCTTTCTCCTTTATTTATGTTTGTTGAATTTTCATTAATGATAATATCTTACTTTTATAAACAAAAATAATTAATTTAAATAATACCACAGTTTTAAAGCTATACTGTTAGATATTATTTAGCTTATTTACTAATTTAATAAATGGCGTTTAATACATCTTTAACAATTGCCTAATGTGTATTTTGATAATTTTCTTCTTTTTCTTAGTCAATTTGCATTGCAATAAAGGAACACCTGAGGCTGGGTAAATCATAAATAGGTGATGTGGCTCAAGGTTCTCTAGGATGTACAAGAAGCATGGTACCACCATCTGCTTCTGGTGAGGGCCTCAGGCTGCTTCCACTTACGGCAAAAGGTAAAGAGGAGCAAGCATTGCATGGTAAGAGGATAGAAGCAAGAGAGAGAGTGGAGGAGGCATCAGGCTCTTTTTAACAATCAGTTCTCATGGGAATTCACAGAGCGAGAACTTGCTCATTACTATGAGGATGGCACCAAGACATGCATGAAGGATCCGCCCTCATGACCCAAACACCTTCTGTCAGGTCCCACCTCCAACACTGGGGATCAAATTTCAACATGAGATTTTTGAGGGGGCAAACATTCAAACTCCATCATTCTTCATATATGATTTTCTTAGAAAGTTTTTATACATACATTATTTCCATAAGTTTCCAAAGTTACACATTGTTATGTCATGTATACATATGTTTTTGATGTAAAAAAAGGATCAGTGAAAATAGCAAATTATAGCTTAAATTACTTTTCTCTACGCAAAACCAGCCTTTGCGTAATAGGTTGCTATTTGCAAAGGCTGTTGCTTTGTTTTTTTCTGTATACCTTTGACTAAAATGTTGTAAGATGCTTTTTCTTCTTTCATCTTTCTTTCTTTTATCTTGGCCTATTCTTGGAACTTTTGTCATAGTCCTTGACTATTGCAGGTTATTTAATATTGAACTTAACTGTATCTTTGCAGTATTTGTTTGACTCCATATTTATACTCTGCTTTTCTGTAGACTCACCTCCCTAATGTTACTGCTTAAGTGCTAACAAATTTGGAAAATGGATTTGATAAAGGAAGTGAACAGTTCCTAGACTGGCCTTAAAAGAAATCAGACCTATTTATTCATAGACATACCACAGAGTGATTTTCATGGGACTAACTCTTGAAAATTCTATTTTTTAAAAAACAGAAACAGAGTGAAATAATTCACTGTAAAGAAATTTAAAGTTACTTATATTTCTTCATTAATAGATTATTTGAATCTGAATTCATTGTTTACAAAAGCACAATCTTTGATGTGGGGCGCACATATATAAGGAAGATCTTATATGGTGACTTTGTTGGCCATGATTACAATGTAAAAAAAAAAGTCTTTTATTTGTAATGCGTAAGCAGGAGGAATTTAACAGAAAGTCCACCTTCTAAGATGACCAAGGAAAATAGGATGAGAAGGAAAAGGGAAAACTTAGCTTAGAATGAAATTATGTGATTGGAAAGATCTAAAACAGTAATATTAGCAACCAAAATCAAGTTTACATTCCCAACCTATTAGCTAAATCTAGAAAAGAACTTGACATTCTAATATAAGCAGCTGCTTGAAGAGTTTAGACAACTTTCTTTGCATAGATATTTAGATAAAAGCAAATTAATGCATATGTTTTACAGAAAATTATTTTATCTGTGACACAGAATTTAATGGAAGACAAGTATTCTCTAGAAAAATAGACTCAAGGGAAAACAGCTGGAATTCTTACAGCTTATAAATGAAGTGCCTGAAGGTAGCCTTAATATAGTTTGCTAAATGCTTCCAAAGAATTGCCAACAGGTCTCCACATCTTTGAATTAAAACATACCAGGTTTCTTAAGGAAACTCAAAGTAGATCCAAGCTGGCACGGCATTTCCGGGCCCTGTGATCCAATGAATTAAACTTTAGTCATCACTTCCTAAACAAAGCAGAGCGGAGTTTCTTATGTAGGCAAAATTTCCTTACCTCCATTTCAACCGCTGTTTTTGAAAGGCCTTGTGATGAGGCCCAAGGGAGTTTTGATCTGAGAATCACAGGAAATGTTTTTTCCACTTTCCAATAAAATTCCAAGTTTTTGTAACATGACCATTCAGTCTTTCTATAATTGCTTTGATAACTTATGTTGTATAATGAGGTAAATAATTCACAGTGTAGAATGAAAAAGATTGGCCGGGTGCGGTGGCTCACGCCTGTAATCCCAGCACTTTGGGAGGCTGAGGCGGGTGGATCACGAGGTCAGGAGGTCGAGACCATCCTGGCTAACACGGTGAAACCCCATCTCTACTAAAAATACAAAAAAAAATTAGCCGGGCGTGGTAGCGGGCACCTGTAGTCCCAGCTACTAGGGAGGCTGAGGCAGGAGAATGGCCTGAACCCGGGAGGTGGAGCTTGCAGTGAGCCAAGACAGCGCCACTGCAGTCCAGCCTGGGCGAAAGAGTGAGACTCCGTCTCAAAAAAAAAAAAAAAAAAAAAAAGAATGAAAAAGATTATGTGTGTGTGTGCGTGTAAAATTATTTGCAGAGAACCGATACTAGTAATTATAATCCTTTTTCAATCCCTCAGAAATATAGTAGAGATAAGTCACTTAGATGTGCATTTTGGTGCTGCTTAATTAAGGAGCATGTTGTTTACAAAATTATCCTGAAAGAAGAAAAGTATTACGGTTGACTCCTTCCACCTGGCTAAAACACAGATTATTATTTTACTGTCAGATTAGAAACATGTGAAAAAGTCTCTTTCTGTAATTTTAAAGTGTACTGTGTTATTGTTATTCACAGACAAAATTTTCTTTGTTTTCCATCTATGTACACTAATATTTAGTATTTAAACACATAATATTTAAATATTTGAAAAAAAACTCTGGGAATAGGAGACCAATCTGCCAAAAAAAAAAAAAAAATCCCCTTTCAACTTATGGCTTTTACTAGTACCTTAGTATTAGAAATTTCAACCACTTTATGAGTTTTAAACAGTCTATATATGAGATAATTTATTGAATAAGTTGTAGGGTTTCTTTAGATGAGAAAAAATTGCCAATTTTAAGTATGAAACTATAGAATATCATAAATGCTAGAAGGAAAACAGTCTTGTATAAATTTTTGACCCCACATCCCTGTAAGTAACATATTTTGAGCATGTACAATTATATACACTTGACTTATTTATGTACTACATTATAAAACACACACTTAAAATAACATAAGAGTATAAAAATGAAACAGCATTTTCTCATACCTGAAGGAGTATACAGTCATTCCTTGGTGTTTGTGAGGGACTGGTTCTGGAACCCCTGCAGATACCGAAATCCATGAATGCTCAAGTCCCTTATATAAAATGGCATAGCATTTTCAAATAACCCAGGCATACCCTGTACACTTTAGATCATCTCTAGATTACTTAAAATAACTAATACAATGTAAATGCTACATAAAGTTTTAATATTGTATTTTAAAATTTATATTACTTTTTATTGTATTTTTTTCCAAATATTTTTTATCTGAGGTTGGTTGAATTCATGCATAAGAAACCCATGTATACAGAGGGCCAACCATATACTATCGCTACAAATTTGAATATGAAGAAAAATTTCATGTAGCTATTTCTTTCACTCTGTATTTTTTTCAAGGCTCCAGAGAACCTCTTTAAGCCGGGGGCACATGCAGCACAGTTTTGTGGCCTCTTTACCAGAGGACACATGACAGGGGAGAGAGAGGTACTTCCGCATCCCACAGGGTGGCCCTCAAAACTCAGTGTGCATCAGAATCACCTGTATGTTTTAAAAAATACTGATGCCCAGGCTCTAACCTCAGGATTTGGTTTCCAAAAGTCTGGTAAGAGCAGGGTCTAGGCATTTATATTTTTAAAAATCCTCCCAGGAGAAGTTAGTGTACAGGAGGTGTTGAGAATCACTGCTTTAGACACTTGTTGGAGGGCCAAAGAAAATTTCCAGCAGAATGTGGCTATGGTGTTCAGCCATAGTGCCTGGTGGGGCAACACAGTAGCTGCAAGGACACAGTGGAAATAGTGATCTGTCCAGATGGAGATGACTGCATTGCCCCAGGAAGGTGGTCACTGGAATCAGAAGAAGCAACTGCCATGCCCTACAAGATAGTGGTGCTCAGCAGAAGAAGATGTGTCACTAAGATTGAAGGCTGGACTGCTTTAAGAGCTCTGGCAAGTCATCAGAAGAATGTTGCAGGGGCTGAGATCTTGACAGAGCAGGTGGGAACAAAGACTATTGCAACTTAAATTAATGTCATGCCAATGTCATTAAGGCTTCCACAGTTTGAAGATGCTTAGGGAAACTCAGGTTACAGCATTCGTATTGTAACAATAACCACCTTTTACAGAGAGAGCATCACAATTTACAAAGATCTTTTGTATATATTATGTTACTTGATCCACCCTTTATCCCTGGGAGGAAGTAGGATAAACTCTATTAGTTCCATTTTATGAAGGAAAATAATAAAGTTCAGAAATGTTAAGTATTTGCCTGAGGTCATACAATACCAAAGGGCAGAATCAGAATGCCAATCTAGATCTCTCAGCTCTTAACCTTTCTCTTTCTCACCAAATCTTGAGATGGTAGGGTGTTTGGTGATGCATAGAAGAGGATGTCTATGAATTTATGTGGTTATTGGCTTGTTTAGAAATGGGGTAAATCTCTCTCAGGCATGCTTTTAGAATGGTGCAAAAGTAATTGATTATTCAACAACTAAGAGGTTAATACCTGACACAGCAAAGACATTCCTGGCCCTGGTTCAGTGCCGAGGACCAGACTAAGTGCCTGGGCTATAAAATATGTGGTTGTGAAATGATAGAAAGATTACCTTTCCCCATGGCCATTCATTTTCAAATTCAGGTGTTTTGGAAATTAATTGTATTGATAATAATGGGCCATAGAGAATGGATAAGCAAAACATTGATCTATCCATTCAAAGATTCATTTCATCTGTGACCAAGCTATTTCGATTCTGCCTCCTAAATATCTCTCCTTTGTGTCGCCTCCTGCTCCCAACCACTGCTGCCTTTATTTAGATTTTCAGCATCTTTTTCATAGCCTCTTGTTATGTGGTCACTGATTCTTATCTAACCCCTTCCAGTTTGTTCTCACACTGCTCCCAGACTTTTAGCTCTAAATTTGAAATCTGATGATGTCCCTACTCTTTTAGATTTTACCCTTTTAGAATTTTTCAAAGGTTGCCTTTTATTGGTAAGGTTTTACTTAAACACCTGCGCTGGAACACAAGATCATCTCTACTTTGGTTTATGCTTTTCTCTTCAGCTTCATATCTAACTGAACCCAGTTCTCACTGTATCTTACATTCATGTCACAATGAAATATCCAGAGTTCTCCAAATGTACCATACAACTGTGCCATGACTCTTCTTTGCAGACTCACATCACCTTTACTTCCTGATGAATGAGAGTACATTCTCCAGACTTAATTCAAGCCCCACCTTCTCCATTGATTAACATCCTGATTTCCCATGGCCTCACCCAGTTGGCAATGACTCCTTCCTTTATGAACTCATCATACTCCATGAATACTTCCATCACAGCACCTATAAAGCTTCATTCCACCTACTTGTTTATGTAGCCTTCTCTTCCATTTAAACTGTTTATACTCTTTGGGGGTATAAATCATGTCTTAGTTTTATCACCAGCACCCAAAATACTGTATGACGTATGAGGTATTTAATAGTGCTTATCAAACAAATGCCTTAATTCATTAACTCCCATATATGAATTAGGGGCTCTTCCTCAGATATAACCTAGAGCTTCTGAATTTTAAAAAAATTAGGTAAAAGGTCTGACAAAGATTTTTTTAGTTTCTCTTTCAAACCTGGGAAATAATAGATAATGATATATCTATGAATGTCAGTTGGCAGACATTGCTAAGTGTTTTTCAAAGCAGTGGGAGTCCCGAACCCAGTCATATATGCCAACCACAAAACTATAAATAAGTATCTGTGTACTGCAATTAATAGCTTATTTGGAGCCAGATAATTTCTTCAAGCACAGAGTATTTTAAATCAGGAATGAACTAGCACTGAGCGAGTTTTGGCAAGTTTCTCTTACACATGGGTTGAGATTTTAAACATCACTTAGGTGCTTAAACAGTTAGAAACACATTAATGTCAGCCATTATTTTTGGTTACAAGCTGGTGTCATAACTGGCCTAATCCTTTTTCTTTATTCCTTTTCTTAAAATAATCTGATCTATAAGAACAATTGGCAGATGTTATTTGAAAATGGGCTCCACACACCAAAATTCTGTGGAAGTTCCTCCACACAGGTAGAGGAAAAAAAGAAAAAAAAAATTCCTACTTCTTAAATCAGATAGAAAATTCCCATTCTGGGATTAAGAAGAAAAAAGCAAATCTCAACTTATAAGTGCTTTGCCAAACATATAAATCACAAGCGTTTATGGTTTATTTTTGAATACTCTTAATTGCTAAGATGTAAACTCAACATTTCAAAAGTCTCTACATTATTTATCCAGTCTTATAACCTTGAAAGAAACAAACTGTCCTAAAGCATGAACTATTTTTAAGTGAGCTAATATCTGTGGAATCCTTTCCCAAATGGATTTCAGGGTTAAGGGCGTGTCTGATCCACTGTGCAAGAAAGCAAGATGTGCTCATTTCCTTCCACTGTATGCATGAAAATGATGACAACTTATCCTCAAAGTGAAAACTAGGAACTATGTGTCAAGTGATGTATAAGACTATGTAAAATATACATGTATGCAAGAAATGTGTACATCTAAACACTCCAAATGTTTGACTGTATAATATGACTTTTAATGTCAGAATGAGAAGAAGGAAGCATTGAACAAGAATAAAGAAAAATCCTATATTTACTTTTTAAATTAAAAAGCATAACCACATCTTCTATAAATTCTAACAAAATCCTGCACACAATTTTGAGAAACAGTACCATATCTCTTATGGTACTGTGTTACTTGGATGAACTTAGCAGTTGGTGGGGATAAAGAAGTATGAGACTAGAGAACCAAATTTTCATTATTTGTCAACAGACAAATGGGTAGATGCTAGGAGTAAGTAGAGGAGTAAGTAAATTCAGAGGGAATTTTTTTTTTGAAGAAACCGGGGCAAGGTGAGGGTGGCTTTAGTTTATGATATTACCCATGCTCGCTATTATGACTGTGCTTCCTGTACTAATTTCCGTATCTGTTCAAGCTGAATCCACATGCCTGTTGATTGGTACTTTGCTTGGTTTCAGGGACCTCTCTCAAATGTAGCCTAGAGCTTCTGAATAAAAAATATCAAGTTAAGATATTTGATGAAAGTTTTTTTCTACTTGTTTGCCTTGATTTATATAGTGCATCTTACAAAGCCATTGAAATTAAACCACATATCCATAATCTGTTAAGAAAAGGTAAGTAAAAGAAATAAGGTTGGGCCGGGCGCGGTGGCTCACGCCTGTAATCCCAGCACTTTGGGAGGCCGAGGCGGGCGGATCACGAGGTCAGGAGATCGAGACCATCCCGGCTAAAACGGTGAAACCCCGTCTCTACTAAAAATACAAAAAATTAGCTGGGCGTAGTGGCGGGCGCCTGTAGTCCCAGCTACTCGGGAGGCTGAGGCAGGAGAATGGCGTGAACCCGGGAGGCAGAGCTTGCAGTGAGCCGAGATCCCGCCACTGCACTCCAGCCTGGGCGACAGAGCGAGACTCCGTCTCAAAAAAAAAAAAAAAAAAAAAAAAAAAAGAAATAAGGTTATATGAAATTGGGACTATTTTGAAAATTCCAGGAAGTATGCTGGCATATATTTCTCAATTGTTTTCTCAACATTTTGAAAATTATTGTCCAGGCTGTAGATCATGTTGTCAGTGGCTTCTCCCCATCTAATAAAATATGAAGACCCTCTCCACCTTTTGGAGGAAAATGCTGGTATCTTGGAGTTTGATACTACCGTGTAGAAACCAATATACTAACTTGTAAGAGACAAAAGTTTATTTACTCCACGTATTGTTGAAATTTTATCATAAAAACTGATATTCTTTGGGAAAATGATTATAAAAGCCACAAATTTTAACATCTATTCGGTTGTAATTTAAAAATACCTGAATTTTCAGCCATTTGCAGTGGCTCATGCCTGTAACCCCAGCACTTTGGGAGGCCAAGGCAGGCAGACCACTTGAGGTCAGGAGTTCAAGACCAGCCTGTCCAAAATGGTGAACCCCACCTCCCACCCCATCTCTACTAAAAATACAAAATTAGCCAGGTGTGGTGGTGTGTGCCTGTAATTTCAGCTACTTGGGAGGCTGAGGCACAAGAATTGCTTGAAACCAGGAGGCAGAGGTTGCAGTGAGCTGAGATCGTGCCACTGCACGTCAGCTTGGGTGACACAGCGAGACTCTGTCTCAAACAAACAAACAACAACAACAACAACAACAATTTTCAAGGAAAGAATAAGTTTTCTACTATCGATTCCATTAACTCCGACTACACAACTCAGATTGTGTTTTTGAGGTAGCACAGTAAGCTGGGCATTAGTCCTGCATGCTCCTAGGTAAACTCTCTGAGCTTTAATTTTCTCATTTGTGCGATAGGAATCATTCTACGCACCCAGTTTCTCTCAGGGCATTTGAGGGGAAACCCCTGGAGCAATGGACAAAAAAAAACCCCTTTGATACCTGTAGATACTGGTGTTCCAATCTCTACAGATTGGTGTTCCAATACCTTTGCCCGGGTTATGCTTATGCCCCAGCACCTAATCATAAAATGGTGTCTTTGCCCTCTTGCCTCCTGGCTCACAGCTTCTTACACACTTGAGTCAGAAGCGGTTTTTGTCTTCCTCCTTTCATGAGAGCAGGAGCCTCATTCCAGTCTCCAGCTTTGAGAAATGAGTATTTCTGTTGCCTTCTTGCATGGAGCACTCTCTGCTCTTTAACTGACAAGGGCTAAGCTCCTGACTGCTATTGTCTTCCTTGAGTTTTGCCCCTGCTTTTGCTTGGCATTTCTGTCCAAGAAAAATGCTGATCTTGTTTTTGAGATGGGCTATGTCTTTTTGGTCTCTCTGTTATCAACCTATATATGTGTTTAGAGTGGAGAGTATGCATCAAAGAAACATACTCGATGTTCAAGAAATCTTTAAAGAAATGCTGTCTTCTCAGTTCTTGGGGCAATATTGTGTTGAGTCAACTTATCCAGACAACTTGGCTGGAAGGCTTTATTGGTGCAAGTATTTCATAAACTGCAAAGTTCTATACAAACATAAAACATTATGTTGATGTGTATAAGAAAGAAAACCTAAGGTTTATCTTTTTCTGAACTTCACCAGCCATTCCTGAGAATATCTGATATTCAGTGTTATCACTTCAATAGCAGCACAGATCAGTCACAGAGTGTGGCCCACAAATTGCTGATCCATGGATTGTTACTGATCTGGGGCAAGATAAGTTCAGAAAGTGAGAGTGAGCACCTAGAAAATTTTAGAGCAATTTGACAAAGTAATTTTACATTCGTTATATCTAATGATTTGAAGAATTAGCTTATTATATTTTTATATCTTTTAAATTTCATTTTTCTTGTACTTTAAAAAATACCTGTGACGAATTGAAAATTGAAACTAGGTCCTTTACCACAGATAGGCTTATACTGTTACTCATGCTTATTATATTTCACCAAATACGATTTCATCAATTTAACATGTGCTATAATCTTTATATATTAATACAAAAGAAGAAAACAATGCTACCAATTAAGCTATCCACAAGGCCTATAAATCACTTAGTTTTTAAAATCTTATATTTACTGAAAGAGCTCTTTTAGTAAAGTAAACACAATTTTGAACTTAACATAACTTTAAAGAATTTCATATCAGTCTTATGTGGGTATAAAAGGAAAATGTTAATGCAATAAATTAATGAAGAAGACATTTCCTAAATTTCTTTACAATCTGAGTCCAATGCTTCTGACTCACTTTTCAGCTTAGAGTTGTTAATGTCTGTGTTTTCTACACAATATTGCCCCAGGGCTGAGAAGATGGCATTTCTTTAAAGATTTCTTGAACATTAGTTGCAGATTTTTCTCCCCAAATTACTGGCCTTACTAAAAAGTGTCTAGGGGCAGTTACGTGTATTTTAGGAGCAAACTATATCGTAACTTTTCATGCCTGTAAGTACTGTCCTTTCTTAGGTTCCATAGAGCACTTGATAGTTGCTTTGCAAGAAAAAATGAAATCATGACTATCTTTTCAAAAACAAGTATCTGCTTCTTCAGTATCAAATGTATACTCAATGTTCTGTTTCCACGCTTTATTGCAAATATAATAACTTTTTTGTGTTAATGCTCAGTTATATTGTAATCTTTTAAAATATATTTTAAAAGACAATTAAACCCAACACATATATTATTAACAAGGCATTTAATTCCATAGAAGTGATGAGAATATGAAAACTGTGACTGAGCTTGAGAATGCTTAGGCAAGGTCTGGCTGACTATAATTGCAATCACAGATTATGAACTGTATCCTAATAACATGAGCTGTCTTTACAATCTTTTATTTTATTTTTTCAGGGATGGGGTCTCGCTTTGTTGTCCAGGATGGGATGCAGTGGCTATTCAGAGGTACAATAATCATAGCGTACTGCAGCCTCAAACTCCTGGTCTCAAGTGAGCCTCCCAAATAGCTGGGACTATAGGCAATTGCCACCACACCCAACCTTGAATTAATGACTTTAAGAGTGAGCTATCATTTTGCCTATAACTTAAAGATACCTAGGTTCATGATTAATATTTACTCCCAGGAGAATCACTAAACTTAATGCTTCTAAATTTAAATCCATTGAACATAAAGGAATTATCTAACTGTATGGAGATTGCAACATTCCATTGACTAAATCAACTAGCCTGCTAGAGAGCTCAGTAAATAGCTAAGTGGTTTAATTTACTGAACTACTTACTCCAAAGACAGAGTGTATCTAGCACATGTGTAACAAACAGCACTTATAATGTGTAAGGCATTATCCACAGCAACCTTTTAAATTAGGATACTAATAATTCTCCCATTTGTAAGACCAGGCAACAAGGGCAAAGAGAGGTTAATAAGTTGTGGAGCCAGGACTCAAAACCACATGTCTACCCTAAGGGTTGAAAGACTGAGCTTTTAACATATGCTATTTTGTTTTTCAATAAGTGAAATTATTTTGGCTACACTTTGAGTTTTCAGAAGATCTCATAGTTAATTTAAGAAATTATTTTCTAAAACTTTCCAGATCATGAAAGCATATAATGGGAGAAAAAACAACAACTCTGAATTTAAGCAAACAAACCAACTACACTGGTCAAGGCTGGGAGCATGAGTGGAACCAGCTGAAGAAAATGTGGCCCAATCAGAGCCTTTACCAAGTCTTGGTAATAAATGCCCTTGGCAAACAAAGACAATCAGAACAAAAACTACTTTCCACTACCACTGAAAGGAAAAAATGTTGGCAAAGATTATGGAAATGTGGTGACTTGTAATTATTTAGCTGAGGGGGAATATAAACTGGGACTTACATAGACTTTAGATGCCAAACAAAACGATTTTAATGAAATTCTAGGAGACCAAATGTAAATTAAAACTATGGTCCAGGCTACAGCGTTTCTCCACTATTGAATATACAAAGGTGAAACTGAATCACCAAGGGGGACAAAGCAAGCAACGATATCAGCTATTTCTCACAATGAAATCCTAATAAAAATGCAACTGAGTTTGTTAAATTTCAGTTGTCTGAGGTAGATGCATTTCCTCTTGTTATTTAAACAGCAGATTCTTGCTTACCTAAAATACAGAGCCCCAAAAATGTCCATTTGCCCAATAAAATCTTTATTTAGGGAATACAACACATGAAATACTTAAACAATAGGGTATTTTATATGTTATAAAAGGATGCATTTATATTTCATAGACAATTTAGTTTCCCATGAGTTAAATGAATTTCCAGATCATTGTGTGATTAAGCTCTTCGTTCTAAGAAAGTTTAAAGTAAAGCTTAGGTAATGGCCAAGTTAAGATGAATAAAATAATTGAATAGAAAAACACTATTTGAAATTATAATACAATCAATACCAAATATTTGATTTTACTAAATTATATAGACTAAGACAAACCTTATTCACTTTCAGCAGTAGTGCTTTCTAAAAATCCTGGCATCTTTTAGAAGGAAAACACTGGAAGATACTAAAGGACAATCCGTTGTGGCTAGAATACAATATTACATCTTTTATTTGCATTTAAAAATATTTATACTGTTATTTTCATATACTCATTATGTATCATGTTTAATGTTAAACAAATAAGATGTTTTACTTTATTACATTTTGAAACATGGATTGGCCTAGGAGCCCTTATTTGGTCAATATGTGAGGATGTGGAGGCCGTCCTATCAAAAGGATGAGCTCCAACCTATGATGGGTAATTTTACATGTAAACTTGGTTGAGCCAAGGCACCAGGCGATCCATCAAACATTATTCTGGATGTTTCCATGAAGGTGTTTTTTTGGATGAGATTAACACTTAAATTGGTGGATTTTGATTAAAGCAGATTACACACCATAGTGTGGATAGGCCTCATCCAACCAGTCAAAGTCCTTAATAGAACAGAGACTGACCTTTCTCAGAGGAAGAATGAATTCTGCCAGCACATTGCCTTCAGATTCACGCTGCAACTCTCCCCTGGATCTTCAGCCTGACAGAACCTCCACCTTGCAGATTTTGAATTTACCAAGCCCCACAATTGTGTGAGCCAATTCTTTAAAATACCTCTCTCTCTCTTTCTTTCTCTCTCTCTCTCTATATATAGAATATATATATTCTATATATATTCTCTCTATTCTATATATATTCTCTCTCTCTATATATAGAATATATATAGAGATATATATATACACACATGATATATATGATATATGAATCATATATGATGCTATATATATTTGATATATGATATATGAATATATATGATTATATATACATACATATATATATCTATATATATGCAAAGAGAGAGAGAGAGATAGCCTATTGTTTCTATTTCTCTGAAGAACTCTGACTAATACACCCCCATGAAGGAATGAGAGTGGAGCCATCACTTATTTGCTGTCCCTTAGAAATCTGGGATGTATTGCCATTTATGTGTGCTTAGCTATATAGACTTAGAGAAAATATTAATCAGTTTTTAACTACATTCATCCTCACAAAACAGACAAGTGGTCTAAAGATTCTCTCATATAAAAACTCAAGTTGAGATTATGTTAAAATTCAGCACAAATAAGCCTCAAGACACTTCATAACTACATTCCAATTAAAAAATCATTATTGAATTACATATGAGAAATCTGTTATGAAATCTGTTATAAAACTGTAACTATCTGAAAATCCATTTGAAAAATAGATTTATATTATTAATGAACCATGCTTCAGGTATATATTGTGCTAGGAAATAATAATTCAAGTTTTTAAAACCTGATATTTGTGTAATTTAAAAATAAATAGCAGGGGATATGTACAAAATATGTTTTAATAAAATGGGCGATCATTCAAAAATATTTACACACTAATTTTAGATGAATGTCAAGCAGAATAAACATTTAAAAAAGCTGACTGATAAAATTAAATGCCTTCAAACCAATCTTTGCTGTTAGAAGTCAGAAAAATTGATACTATTAGAGGGAGCAGGTAGTGACAAGAAGGCTTCACAAAGGGGCTTCTGGTTTTGCCGACGATTTGTTTCTTGAGCTTGGTTTGGTTATATGGATGTGTTTAGTGCATTAAAGTTCATTGAGCTGTGCTCTATAAATAGACTCTTTTCTCTATGTTTATTAAGCTTCACTAAAAAGTTTAACAAAAAATGGCTTTAAAACTAGAAAATGTACCCCTCTACAAATTCTGAATGCATAAATGCAGTTAATTTGTATATATACCAATTGTGATTATAAAGGGAGACCATAAGGTGCAGGCACTTTCTGACCATCAAAGAAACAGGCTAAGATTTTAGATAGTTTGGAAATTTCGCATATATGTTCATGAGCGGTATTAGCTTGCAGTTTTCTTGTAATGTCTTTGTCAGATTTGGGTATTAGTGTGGTGCTGGCACCATACAATGTGTTGGGAAGTATTCTTTGCTTTTCATTTTTTTCAGAGACTTTGTTTAGGATTGGTGATATTTCTTTCTTAAATATTTGGTAAGATTCCCTAAAGAAGGTATTTGGGCCTGAATTTTTATAGGAAGATTTTTAACTATAAACTCAATGTTTTAATAAATGTTAGGCTATTCCCATTATTCGTAAGTGAGGGTTGGTGGACATTTGATTATTTTTTCCCCCTCAGTCTAAGTTAAGTTCCTTGGCATTAAATTTTTTATAAACAACTTTTGCTTAATTGAAGTTTAATTTACTTTTTTTTTAGTTTTTAAATGTAGAGGCTAAGATTATTAATTTGAGGCCTTCTTTTTCTTTTCTAATATAGCCATTGCTACTATAATTTCCCCTCACATACTGCATTCCACATTTTCATTCAGTTCAAAATATTTTCTGATTTATAAAAAAATCTTTCTTTGATACACGGGTTATTCAGAAGTGTTATTTAATTTCCAAATATTTGGGATTTGTCAGGTATCTCTTATTGATTTTAGTTTAATTCTGCTACGTTTATACAACATATTTTCTATACCATAAAACCTTTCAAATTTAGTAAGACTTGTTTTATCACCCTGAATGTGGTCTATCTTGGTAAATCCTTACTGTGCACTTGAAAAACAATGTGTATTTTGTTGTTTCTGGGTGGATCATTCTAATAGTTTTCTAGTTGGTCAAGTTAGTTTGGTAGTATTACTCAAGGTTCAATATACTTACTGATTTTCTGTCTATTTCTTCTATCAACTATTGAGATGTATGTTGAAATTTCCAGCTATAACTGAGAATTTATATATTTTTCTTTGCAGATTAATCAATTTTTCCTTCATGTAATTTGAAACTCTGTTATTAGGTATAAAAACATTTAGAATTGTATGTCCATTTGATGAATAGAACCTTTTATCATTATAAAATGGCCCTTTTTATCCCTGGTAATATTCTTTGCTCTAAAATCTGTATTATCTAATATTAATATGAGTGATTAATGGTAGCATGATATATCTTTTTCCATCCTTTAACATGTAGCCTATTTGTGTGGTTTTTTTTAATTTAAGGTGGTTTTCTTCTTGGTAGCATTTGTTTGTTTGTTTGTTTTCAATACAACTTCTGCCTTTTAATTGGAGTGCTTAATTAATAATTAATGAAATTACTGATATAGGTGCATGTGAGTCTATCATATTCTTATTTGTTTTCAATTTTTCTATATGCTCTTAGTTCCCCTTTACTGTATTTTCTGGCTTCTTTTGGATTTTTTAAAAAATTATTTCATCTTATTTACTTTTTTGGTTTATTAATTATAACTCTGTTGTATTTATGTGTTATGTGTATGTGTTATGTATACTTTGAAGCATAAATTTTTAACTTATCACAGCTTTTCTTATATGTATACCACAGCATATATATAATAAGAACCTCATGTCAGTACACTTTCATGTCTCCCCTCCTGGCCTTTGTAATATTATTGTCATATATTTTACTTTTACATATATTATAGATCCTAAGATCCTATGATACACTGTTTTTTTTTCTTTTAACAGTTTTTAAAAGACATTTTAAAAAACAAGAAATTTGATATAGTTTGGGTCTATATCCCTGACCAAATCGCATGTCAATTTGTAATCCCCAGTGTTGGATGTTGGGCCTGGTGGGAGGTGCTTGAATCATGAAAGCAGATTTCCCCCTCAGTGCTGCTCTTGTGATAATGAGTGAGTGTTAGCCAGATTTGATGGTTTAAAAGTGTGTGGCACCTCCCTCCTTGCTCTCTTCCTTTGGCTCTGGCCATGTGAAGACATGCCTGCTTCCCCTTCGCTTTCTACCATGATTGTAAGCTTCCTGAGGCCTCCTTAGCCATGCTTCTTGTACAGCCTGCAGAACTGTGAGCCAATTAAATCTCTTTTCATTATAAATTACCCAGTCTCCAGTATTTCTTTATAGCAGTGGCGAGAATGAACTAATACAGAAAGCTGGTACCAAGAGGTGGGGCATTGCTATAAAGACACCTGAAAATGTGGAAGCAGCTTTGGAACTGGGTAATGGGCAGAGGTTCGAACAGTTTGGAGGGCTCAGAAAAAGACAGGTAGATGAGGTAATGTTTGGAACTTCCTAAGACTTGAATGGTTGTGACCAAAATGCTGATAGTGATAGGGACAGTGAAGTCCAGGCTGAGGAGGTCTCAGATGGAAATGAGGAATTGGAGTAAAGGTCACTTTAATAAGTAAAGGTGGCTTATTGGGATATGGAGTAATGGTCACTCTTGCTACACTTTATCCCTGTTCTAGGGATCTAAGAAACTTTAAACTTGAGAGAGATTATTTAGGGTACCTGGCAGAATAAATTTCTAAGAAGGAAAACATTCAAGATGTAGCCTGGCTACTTCTAAAAGTCTATGCACATATGCATAAGCAAAGAAATTATCTGAAACTGAAACTTATATTTGAAAAGGAGGCACAGCATAAAAATTTGGAAAATTGGCAGCCTAGCCATGTGGTAGAAAAGAAAATCCCATTTTCTGGGGAAGGAATTCAAGCCAGATGCATAAATTTGCATAACTAAAAGGAAGGCAAGTACTAATAGCCAAGACAATGGGAAAAAGACCTGAAGGCATTTCAGAGACCTTCATGGGAGCCCCTCTCATCACAGGCCCAGGAGGGCAAAATAGTTTCGTGGGCCAGGCCCAGGGCCCTACTGCTCTGCACAACCTTGAGATGCTGCTCCCTGCATCCTTGGGGACTCCAACCATGGATCAAAGGGGCCCAGGCACTTAGGCCACTCACTGCTTCAGAGGGTGCAAGCCATAAGCCTTCGTAGCTTCCACATGGTGCTGGACCTGCAGGTGTGCAGAGTGCAAGAGTTGAGGCTTGGTAGCCTCTGCCTAGATTTCAGAAGATATATGAAAAAGCCTGAATGTCCAGGCAGAAGTCTGCTGTGGAGGCAGAGCCCTCATGAAGAACCTCTACTAGGGCAGTGCAGAGGGGAAATGTGGGGTTGGAGCCCCCACACAGAATCCCCACTGGGCACTGCCTAGTAGAACTGTGAGAAGAGGACCACCATTTTTCAGACCCCAGAATGCTAGATCCACCTGCAGCCTGCACTGAGTGCCTGGAAAAACCCCAGGCAATCAATGCCAGCCCTTGAGAGTAGACATGAGGGCTCAGCCCTGCAGACCCAATGGTGCAGAGCTGCTCAAGACCTTGGGAGTCCACCCCTTGAATCAGCATGCCCTGAATCTGGGACATGGAGTCAAAGGAGATTATTTTGGAGCATTAAGATTTAATGACTTTCCTGCTGGGTTTTGGACTTGCACAGGGCCTGTTGCTCCTTTCCTTTGGTTTATTTATCCATTTTGGAAAATGAGTATTTACCCAGTGCCTATACCCCCTTTGTATCTTGAAAGCAACTAACTTGTTTCTGATTTTACAGGCTTATAAGTGGGAGGTACTAGCCTTATCTCAGATGAGACTTAACTTTCGACTTTTGAGTTAATACTGGAATGAGTTAAGACTTTGGAAGACTGTTGGGAAAGCATGATTGTGTTTCAAAATGTGCGGACATGAGATTTGGGAAGGGTTGGGCAGAATAATATGGTTTGGATCTGTGTCCTCCCAAAATCTCATGTCAAATTGTAATCTCCATTATTGGAGGTGGAGCCTGGTAGGAGGTGACTGGATCAAGTGGGGCAGATTTCCCCCTAGGTGTTGCTCTCATGATAGTGAGTGAATGCCCATGAGATCTGGTTGTTTAAAAGTGTGTGGCACCTCCCCCCTTGCTCTCTTCCTCCTGCTCTGGAGATGTGAAGGCACGCTTGCTTCCCCTTCACTTTCCACCATGATTGGAAGTTTCCTGAGGCCTCCCCAGTCATGCTTCCTATAGGAAGCCTGCAGAACCATGAGCTGATTAAACCTCTTTTCTTTATAAATTACCCAGTCTCAGATATTTCTTTATGGCAGTGTGAAAACAGACTAATACAAAAGTTTTTCTAATTATATAATTACCATTTCTAGTGCTTTTTATTCCTTTATATAGATGCACATTTTCATCTGGTATCATTTTTTTCTGCTGATAAACTTCCTTAAAATTTTCTTGTAATAAGCAGTCTGCTAGTGATGAATTCAGATTTTGTATGTCTGAATAAGTCTTTATTTTACCTTTGTTTCAACAAATATTTTTCCTTGGTAAAGAATTCTAATAGACAAGTTTTTAAAAATGTCAACATCAGCTCTATAGTTGATAGCATCTCCTTAATTCTTACCACACTAAATCTAATCTCTGATTTGTAGAGTTTGAGGCTCATCCTATCATTTTAATTGATTGTCTCACTACTCTAAAATTAATTTTCAAATGCAGGCATACTGGTCTCCTTCCTCGTCCTATTTATTTTTCTGCCTTCTCTTTAATGTTACCTTCTTTTCAGACTGACTTATTTTACTTAGCAATATGTGTTTAAGTTTCCTCCATGCCTTTTCATGGCTTGATAGTTTATTTCTTTTTAACACCAAATAATATTCTGTTGTCTGGAAGTACTGCAGTTTATTAATCCATTCATCTCCTGAGGGACATCTTTGTTGCTTCCAAGTATTGATAATTGTAAATAAAGTTGCTATAAATATCTGTGTGTGTGTTTTTGTTTGGATATGTTTTCAACTCATCTGGATAAATACCAAGTGAGCAATTGCTGAAAAATATGGTATGAATATGTTTAGTTTTGTAAGAAACTGCTAAACTGTCTTCCAAGTAACTGTACCATTTTGCATTCCTACCAACAATGAATAAAAGTTTCTGTTGCTCCACATCCTCATCAGTGTTTCTTGTTGTCAGTATTTTGGATTATGGCCATTCTAATATGCAAGTAATGGTATCTCATTGTTGTTTTAATTTGCCTTTCTCTGATGACATGATGCAGAACATCTTTTAATATGCTTATTTGTCATCGGTATAATCTTGTTGAAATGTCTGTTTAAGTCTTTAACCCATTTTTAAATCAGGTTGTGTGTTTTCTTATTGTTGAGTTTTAAGAGTTCTTTGTATATTTTGGATAACAGTTCTTATTCAGATGTGTGTTTTGCAAATATTTTCTCCCAATCTGTGGTTTGTCTTTCCATCCTCTTTATATTGTCTTTCACAGAGCAGAAATTTTTAATTTTAATGAAGTTCAGCTTATCAATTATTTCTTTCATGGATAGTGTTTCTTGTGTTATATTTAAAAAGTCATTGTTACACTCAAGGTCATCTAGATTTTCTCCTATGTTATCTTCCATAAGTTTTATATATATATAAAATATATATATATTTACATTTGGGTCTAGGATTCATTTTGATTTAATTTTTGTGAAGGATGTATGTTGGTATCTAGATTTATCTTTTTGCATGTGGATGTCTAGTTGTTCTAGTACCATTTGTTGAAAAGACAATCTTTGCTCCATTGTATTTTCTTTGCTTTTTTGTCAAAGATCAGTTGGGTATATTTATGTGGGTCTATTTTTGGGATTTCCATTCTGTTCCACTGATCTGCCTATTCCTTTCACCAATACCACACTGTCTTGATTACTGTAGCTTTATAGTAAGTCTTGACATCAGGTAGTGTTTGTCCTCCAACTTTGTTCTTCTCCTTTAATATTATGTGGCTATTCTGGGTTTGCTTCTTCATATACACTTTAGGATCAATTTGTCAATATCCACAAAGTAACTTGGTTGGATAGTGATGGGAATTGCATTAAATTTATAGATCAAGTTGGAAGAACTGACATCTTGATAATATTGAATTTTTTGTCTATGTTCTTTGCCATTTAAATCTTCTTTGATTTGATGTGTTTCATCAGAGTTTTGTAGGTTCTCTCATATAGATCTTGTACAATTGTGCTAGTTTTATACCGAAGTATTTAATTTTTGGGGTGCTAATGTAAATAATTTGGTTTTAATTTGAAATTTGACTTGTTTAATGTTATGCAGGAAAGTATCTGACTTTTGCATATAAACTCTGTTTCCTGCAACCTTTCTACAATTGCTTATTAGATTCAGGAGGCTTTTTTTGGGGGGCGGTGGGACAATTTTTTTGGATTCTCTATGTAGACAACCAAGTCATTTGTAAACAAAGACAGTTTTATTGCTTCTTTCTCAATCTCTATGCTTTTTATTTCCTTTTTGGTTTGATATATTGCAGTAGCTAGTACTTTCAGTATGATGTTGAAAAGCAGTAGTGAGAGGCAACAGTCTTACCTTGTTCTTGATCTTAGCGAGAAGATTTCAAGTTTCTCACCATTAAATATATTATCTGTAGGTTTCTGTGGATGTTCTTTATTGAGGACGTTCTTTTCTATTATTAGTTTTTATCATGAATGGGTGGGAGTTTTTTTCAAGAATGGGTGTTGGATTTTGTCAAATACTTTTTCTTCATCTACTGATATAATCATGTAATTTTTAGACTGTTGATTATAATAATGAATTTTTAAAAGTTGAATCAGCCCTGCATACTTGGGA